>NC_000004.12:132254714-132557744 GCF_000001405.40 Homo sapiens
AGCTTTGTTCCTTTTGCTTTGGACTGCCTTGGCTATTTGGGCTCTTTTTTAGTTCCATATTAATTTATAATAGTTTATTATAGTTCTACAAAGAATGTCATTGGTATTTAAATAGAAATAACATTGAATCTATAAATTGCTTTGGGTAGTATGGCCATTTTAATGATACTTGTTTTTCCTATCCATGAGCATGAAATGTTTTTTCATTTGTTTGTGTCATCTCTGATTTCATTCACCAGTGTTTTGTAGAGATTTTTCACCTCCTTGTTCACCTGTATTCCTAGGTATTTTATTTATTTATTGTGGCAATTGTGAATGGGATTGCATTCCTGATTTGTCTCTTGGCTTGACTGTTCTTGGTGTATGGGAGTGCTAGTAATTTTTCCAGACAGATTTTGTGTCCTGAGACTTTGCTGAAGTTGTTCATCAGCTTAAGAAGCTTTTGGGCCGAGACTGTGTTATTTTCCAGATATAAGGTCATGTCGTCTGCAAACAGGGATAATTTGACTTTCTGTCTTTCTATTTGGATGTCCTTTATTTCTTTCTCTTGCTTGATTGCCCTGGCCAGAACTTCTAATACTGTGTTGAATAGGAGTGGTGAGAGAGGGCATTCATGTCTTGTGCTGCTTTCCAAAGGAAATGCTTCTGGCTTTTGGCTATTCAGTGTGATGTTGGCTGTGGGTTTTTCATAGATGGCTCTTATTATTTTGGGTATGTTCCTTCAATATCTAGTTTGTTAAGAGTTTTTAACATGAAAGGGTGTTGAATTTTATCAAAAGCCTTTTCTGCATCTATTGAAGTAATCATGTGGTTTTGTCTTTAATTCTGTTTATGTGATGAATCACATTTCTTGATTTGCATATGTTGAACCAATTTGTAAAACATATTTTTGGATATCATCTACAAGAATTTTCCCAACCTAGGTAGAGAGGCCGACATTCAAATTCAGCAAATGTATAGAACCCCAGTAACATACTTCACAAGAAGGTAATCCCGAAGACACATCAACATCAGATTCTCCTGGGTCGAAATGAAATAACAAATGTTAAAGTCAGCTAGAGAGAAAGGTCAGGTCACCTACAAAGGGAAGCTCATCAGACTAACAGCAAACTCCTCAGCAGAAATGCTACAAGTCAGAAGAGATGGGGGCCAATATTCAACATTCTTAAAAAAAACAAAAAAGAAATTCCAACCCATAATTTCATAACTGGCTAAACTAAGCCTTATAAGCAAAGGAAAAATAAGATCCTATTCAAGCAAACAACTGCTGAGGAAATTTTCTACCACCAGATCTGTCTTGCAAGAGTTCCTGAATGAAGCACTAAACATAGAAAGGAAAGACCATTACCAGCCACTACAAAAACGCATTGAACTACACAGACCAGTGACACTACAAAACAACCACATAAAAAAAGTCTGCAGAATAATCCGTTAACATTATGATGACAGGATTAAATCGACAAATATCAATACTAACCTTAAATGTAAATGGGCAAAATGCCCCAATAAAAAGGCACAGAGTGGCAAACTAGATAAAGAACCAAGACCCATTGGTATATGCTGTCTTCAAGAGACCCATCTCACATGTAATGATACACATATGCTCAAAATAAAAGGATGGAGAAAAATCTGCCAAGCAAATGAAAGTCAGAAAAAAAAAGCAGAGCTGGAATGTTACTTTCAGACAAACCATACTTTAAGCCAACAACAACAACAAAAGACAAAGAAGGGCATTGCATAATTGTAAAGGGTTCAGTTCAACAAGAAGATCTATCCTTTCCAAATATATATGAACACAACACAGGATCACTTAGATTTATAAAACAAGTACTTAGAGACCTTCAAAGAGACTTAAAATCACATATGATAATAGTGGGAAACTTTAACACCCCACTGACAATAGTAGATTATTGAGACAGAAAATTAATGAAGTTATTCAGGACCTAAACTCAGCACTGGATCAAGAGGCCCAGATAGACATTGAAATAACTCTCCACCCAAGAACAACAGAATATACATTTTTGTCATTGCCCCATGACACTTACTCAAAAATTGATCACATAATTGGAAGTAAAATACTCCTCAGCCAATGTAAAAGAACTGAAATTATTCCAAAAAAATCTCTTGGACCACAGCACAATGAAATTAGAAATCAAGACTAAGCAATTAACTCAAAATCATACAATTACATGGAAGTTGAATGACTTTTGGGTAAATAATGAAATTAAGGCAGAAATCAAGAAGTTCTTTGAAACTCAGAAAAATTATACAATATACCAGAATCTCTTGGACATGGTTAAGGTAGTGTTAAGAGGGACATTTATAGCACTAAATACCCATATCAAAAAGTTACAAAGATCTAAATTTAACAACCTAACATCACAACTAAAAGAACTAGAAAATCAAGAGAAAACAAATCCAAAAACTAGCAGAAAACAAGAAATAAATAAAATCACAGATGAATGGAAGGAGATTGAGACATGAAAAATTCTTCAAAATATCAATGAATCCAGGAGCTGTTTTTTTTGAAAATATTAATAAATTATGTAGACACCAGCTAGACTAATAAAGAAGAAGATAAGATTCAAATAAACATAATAAGAAATGACAAGGAAGATATTACCACTGACCCCACAGAAATACAAATAATCATCAGAGAATATTCTGAACATCTCTGTGTACATAAACTAGAAAATATACAAGAAATTGATAAATTTCTGGACACATACACCCTTCCAAGCCTGAACCAGGAAGAAATTGAATCCCTGAACAGACCAATAATTAAATTTGAAATAGAGTCAGTAATACATAGTCTACCAACCAAAAAAATCCCAGGACAAAATGGCTGAATAGTATCATAGCTGAATACCACCAGTTGTACAGATAAGAACTGCATCATTGCTGCTGAAACTATACCAAAAAAATTGAGAAGGAGGGACTCATTCTATGTGGCCAACATCGTCTTGATACTCAAGCCTGGCAGAAAAAATCCAAAAAGAAAACTTTAGGTCAATATCCTTGAACATCAGTGAAAATATTCTCAACAAAATACTGACAAAAAGCTTATCCACTATGATCAAGTGGGCCTCATCCCTGGGATGCAAGGCTGGTTCAACATACACAAATCAGTAAATGTAATCCAGCATGTAAACAGAACCAAGACAAAAACCACACGATTATCTCAATAGATACAGAAAAGGCCTTTGACAAAATTCACCAGCCCTTCATGCTAAAAACATTCAATAAATTAGGTATTGATGGGACATATTTCAAAATAATAAGAGCTATTTATGACAAACCCACAGCCAATATCATACTGAATGGGCAAAACATGGAAGCATTCCCTTTGAAAACTGGCACAAGACAGGGATGCCCTCTCTCACCACTCCTATTCAACATAGTGTTAGAAGTTCTGGCCAGGGCAATCAGGCAGGAGAAAGAAATAAAGTGTATTCAATTAGGAAAAGAGGTAGTCAAATTGTCCCTGTTTGCAGATGACATGATTGTATATTTAGAAAACCCCATCGTCTCAGCCCAAAATCTCTGTAAGCTGATAAACAACTTCAACAAAGTCTCAGGATACAAAATCATTGTGCAAAAATCACAAGCATTCTTATACACCAATAACAGACAGAGAGCCAAGTCATGAGTGAACTCCCATTCACAATTGCTTCAAAGAGAATAAAATACCTAGGAATCCAACTTACAAGGGATGCGAAGGACCTCTTCAAGGACAACTACAAACCACTGCTCAACGAAATGAAAAAGGACACAAACAAATGGAAGAACATTCCATGCTCATGGATAGGAAGAATCAATATCGTTAAAATGGCCATACCGCCCAAAGTAATTTATAGATTCAATGTCATCCCCATCAAGCTACCAATGACTTTCTTCACAGAATTGGAAAAAACTACTTTAATGTTCATATGGAACCAAAAAAGGGCCCGTATTGCCAAGACAATCCTAAGCCAAAAGAACAAAGCTGGAGGCATCAAGCTACCTGACTTCAAACTATACAACAAGACTATAGTAACCAAAACAGCATGGTACTGGTACCAAAACAGAGATATAGACCAATGGAACAGAACAGAGCCCTCAGAAATAATACCACACATCTACAACCATCTGATCTTTGACAAACCTGATGAAAACAAGCAATGGGGAAAGGATTCCCTATTTAATAAATGGTGCTGGGAAATAAATGGTGCTGGCTAGCCATATGTAGAAAGCTGAAACTGAATCCCTTCCTTACACCTTATACAAAAATTAATTCAAGATGGATTAAAGACTTAAATGTTAGACCTAAAACCATAAAAACCCTAGAAGAAAACCTAGGCATTACCATTCAGGACATAGGCATGGGCAAGGACTTCATGTCTAAAACACCAAAAGCAATGGCAACAAAAGCCAAAATTGACAAATGGGATCTAATTAAACTAAAGAGCTTCTGCACAGCAGAACAAACTACCATCAGAGTGAACAGGGAACCTACAGAATGGGAGAAAATTTTTGCAATCTACTCATCTAACAAAGGGCTAATATCCAGAATCTACAAAGAACTGAAACAAATTTACAAGAAACAAACAAACAACCCCATCAACAAGTGGGTGAAGGATATGAACAGACACTTCTCAAAAGAAGACATTTATGCAGCCAAAAGACACATGAAAAAATGCTCACCATCACTGGCCATCAGAGAAATGCAAATCAAAACCACAATGAGATACCATCTCACACCAGTTAAAATGGAGATCATTAAAAAGTCAAGAAACAACAGGTGCTGGAGAGGATGTGGAGAAATAGGAACACTTTTATACTGTTGGTGGGACTGTAAACTAGTTCAACCATTGTGGAAGACACTGTGGCGATTCCTCAGGGATCTAGAACTAGAAATACCATTTGACCTAGCCATCCCATTACTGGTTATATACCTAAAGGATTATAAATCATGCTGCTATAAAGATACATGTACACATACGTTTATTGTGGCACTATTCACAATAGTAAAGACTTGGAACCAACCCAAATGTCCATCAATGATAGACTGGATTAAGAAAATGTGGCACATATACACTATGTAATACTATGCAGCCATTAAAAATGATGAGTTCATGTCCTTTGTAGGGACATGGATGAAGCTGGAAACTATCATTCTCAGCAAACTATCCCAAGGACAAAAAACCAGACACCGCATGTTCTCACTCATAGGTGGGAACTAAACAATGAGAACACATGGAGACAGGAAGGGGAACATCACACACCAGGCCTGTCATGGGGTAGGGGGAGGGAGGAGGGATAACATTAGGAGATTTACCTAATGTAAATGACGAGTTAATGGGTGCAGCACACCAACATGGTGCATGTATACCTATGCAACAAACCTGCACATTGTGCACATGTACCCTAGAACTTAAAGTATAAAAAAAAATACTGGCAAACCAAATCCAGCAGCACATCAATAAGCTTTTCCACCATGATCAAGTAGGTTTATCCCTAGGTTGCAAAGTTGGCTCAACTTATGCAATGCTCTCTTAAGCTGTACCACATGATGTTTTACTGACTAATCACAAAAAGAATAAAAAATAAATTGAAGATTGGTTAAGTTCCTGTTTTTTGTCTTGAATTAAACACGTATCTTTTAATAATGTATAATCAATTGGCCATCTCAAATTGCATCAAATATGTGTATACATAGTACACTGTGTTTTAGTTCTATATATTTTCCTTTCCTGGCACCATGTTCAGTTTTTCAGATATTACCATCAATTGTTTCTTACCTATCTGAGGCACTATTGTCATTGGAACAAGGCTGTGATTATAGTAAAAGTTCATTGAAGGCAAATCATTTTGTTCTTAAATGAGAGCTACGCTGCCACATTTTTTTAAATCATCACATCTTTTTGCTCTGACTAAATGTTTAGCTAGTTCTCTCCAATTTCATATGACAGTTTCATAAATTGTTTTCTACTCAAAGCTTAAACTATGCCAAGAAATTATGAAGTGCCAAGAATAACTGACAACACATAGAACTAAATACTGTTTCAATAAACCAATATTTGCAGAAACATTGTAAACAATTATCAAATTTTTTACTTCTATTCTATGATTCCAATCCATCATTCTCCTTAAACAGTACATGTATGCAATTTGCACAAAACCATTTTCTGCAACATGTCCTTGAGGAAATGTGTTCCAATGGCATTTAATCACAGGTGCCAAGAATGAATCCACACTGGACTCTATGTGCAGATAGTAAATCATCTGCTAATGAGCTATCACAGTTTTTACTACCTAAATAGTTCGAAAAACAGTAACAACTAGAAAAAAACAGGAAAAAATGTTTTAATATAAGAGTATATGTCAATGATTTGCATTGCAACCCATGTTAACAGAGAATTTCATATTTTCACATTAGTATCTACTTTATTTTATATTGTATTGCTCATAATCAAGAAGAGATTTTTTTCTCACAGTTTTAAATATATGCCTATAACTGAATAACCTAATTTACACAAAGATGTTTGTCTAAGAGACACCAAACTATGTAAGATAAAAATGAAATCAAATATATATACGTGTGTGTATGCAGACATAGCCATATATAAAAATTTATGTCTATAAATAGTTATAGATAATAATAGATTATATACCTACATACATAAAACATTTAGTTTAATTTACATATAAATAGACATTTACATACATTTGTAGTGGGAGAGGGTATGTGTATGTGTACATATTGCCTTAGTATTTGTATGTTTTGAAATTTCAAACAAGTAATAATAAAGTAAATATGTTATTAAACTATATTTAGTTAGGAGAATAAAATAAACACAAACCAATATGCTGTTTCAAATTTTATTTCACAAGGAGTAAAAGAGGTTACTTCTGTTACATCAAACATAAGATAATGTCTTTTACAGGCTCAGATTGAAATAATAAAGTGGAAACATATTAGGTAATTCAACCAATACCTTGCTGATTTTTCAATATCTTTTAATACTATCATTATTGAATTAAATATCGACTATCAGATAATATAGTTATCTGATATACAGTTATATTGGTGGGACTGTAAACTAGTTCAACCATTGTGGAAGACAGTGTGGCGATTCCTCAGGGATCTAGAACTAGAAATACCATTTGACCCAGCCATCCCATTACTGGGTATATACCTAAAGGATTATAAATCACGCTGCTATAAAGATACATGTACACGTATGTTTATTGTGGCACTACTCACAATAGCAAAGACTTGGAACCAACCCAAATGTCCATCAATGATAGACTGGATTGAGAAAATGTGACACATATACACCATGGAATACTATGCAGCCATAAAAAATGATGAGTTCATGTCCTTTGTAGGGACATGGATGAAACTGGAAACCATCATTCTCAGCAAACTATCACAAGATAAAAGATTTAGCAACTTATTCTTTGATTCTACTCATCTTCATCTTTTGTTTTTTATATTTTAATTGAAGGATGCCTAGTTCTAGAGAGGGTCTGAATTTAAAAATTTTTAACTTGTAGTTTAAAAAATTATGAAAAAATATTGAAGAGTTTTATAAGTATTGGTTCGTGCTTTCAATGATTTCTATCTATTTTTATCAAAGAATGAATTGAAATATAACTTCAAATGTAAAGCAACATAATTAAGCAATAATTAAAATTATTTGCAAATGATATGTGAAGTTAAGCAGAACATCAGAATACTAGTTAATGGAAATTTCTCTTTTCCTGAGAAACATATAAAAATGTTAGCCTATATACTTTGAGTTTAAGATGTTCAAACACAAAACAAACTTCACTGTGTTTTTTGATATAAATTACAGATATGTGCTTTCTTTAATGAAGAATTGTGCATTTTTTGGTTTATTCTGAGTATGCAAATTTGACTTATAAAAAAATAATGCAAACAATTTTAAAAATATTTTTTCAACTTACACAAACTTTTTGAAGTTATACAACTTGTTTAACTATTATGGTATTGATATAGTTTGGGTCAGTGTGCCTGCCCAAATGTCATGTCAAATTGTAATCCCCAGTGTTGGAAGTGGGACCTGGTGGGAGGTGATTGGATCATGGTGGTGGCTTTACCTTTTGGTGCTGTTTTCATGGTAATGAATGAGTCATCCTGAGATCTGGTTGTTTAAAAGTGTGTAACACCTCCCCTCTCTGTCTCTTCCTCCTGCTCCAGCCATGTAAACTGTGCCTTCTTCCCCTTGGCCTTCCACTATAACTGTACATTTCCTGAGGCCTCCCCAGGCATGCTTCCTATAGAGTCTGCAGAATGGTGAGTGGATTAAGCATCCTTTTTTTAAATAAATTACCCAGTCTCAATTATTTCTTTTTAGCAGTGTGACAACAAACTAATGCAGGTACATAACAAAACTTTGTAGGAAGGAGAATTATCATTCAATAATTGTTGATTCAGGTACTCAGAAAAATAAAACAAATTGTAATTATTAGCTATTAAAATAATCTACCATTCTTTAATATTTAACCATTCCATATAGTTTTTATCTGTAAATAGTAAACTGTAGTCCATATAAACTTATTAAGCATTTTATTACTAATGTACAACCCAAACTGATAAATCTACTTTATTATGGTGTATGTGTATATATATACAAAAATTTAAAATAAGTGGGAATTTTTTAGTCCCAACATTTAGGTGAGTGTGTTTTTGTTTTTTGTGTGAGTTTCTTTTCTGTGTGTGTGTGTGTGTGTGTGTGTTGTTGTTGTTGTTTTGTGTTTGTTTTTGCTTATTAATTGAGTATTTCATTAACCAATCAAGTTAATCAACTTGACTCTAAGATGGTAAGATGCACTATAAATGTGAGAAGCACATTCATTGTTAATAAGATGTTCTCAATTAATTAGAAAGTATACTGAGTGTTACTACATACTTTACTATTACTAAAACTTCTAAATATCTATTGCTTCATAAAGAAAATAAAACTTGCCATGTGTGCTGGCTCATGCTTATAATTCTAGCACTTTGGGAGGTGAAGGCAGGAGGATTACTTGAAGCCAGGTGTTTAAGACTAGCCTGGGCAACATGGCAAAGTGCTGACTTAAAAAAAAAAAATCAAATCTGCTGAGAATGGTGGCACACACCTGTAGTCCTAGGTAATTGGGAAGCTGAGGCTGGGGCATTACTTGAGCCCAAGAGTTTGAGGCTACAGTGAGCTAGGATTGTGCCACTGCACTCCATCCTGGGTGACAGAGCAAGATCTTATCTCTAATTAAAAGAAGATAAAACTTTCCCCTTGCTAAACTAGGCATAAAATGAAGTGTTACATGTTGATATTTTAAAAGTAGCTTAAAATATGACTGAGAGATAATCATGAATTTCATATTTTGGAAAAAATAAGACAGAAGAGAAAGGAAATAATTTGGTTTGAGATAAGTAGCTAAGATAATAGGAACAAACTGCAAGACCATAAAACTTTTCCAACAAGGCTAAAATAATGCACTATTTAAAAAGTATTTACTTTTCCAAGGACCTTTATGTTCTTTTATGCAATCTTCTCAGTCTTTTTTGCAAACCTTCTCAAAGCCATGCAACAGACTGGAGAAAAGGCAGCAAAATACAATAAACTTCCTCTGACCTTCAGAAGTTTAGTAAAGTTGAGTAATTAGGAAAAGATGAGATGAAACAACAATTTCTCATGATCACTATTTGTAAACCAGTCTGCACTTCAACAGTCTGCAACTACTGACAAAATATTAGGTTAAAATAGGCAGAATTAACTGATAGTGATAATTTAAAAGTGCTACAATTGGTAAATTTAAATATCTAATGTGAAATATCTAATGTTTGAAATGTTGTGACATGCAAAAGCTATATTTAAATAACTTATTAAAACAAACAAATACATATTTATGATAGGAAATTATAAAATAAACAAGAAAAAAATCATCCAAAATCTAATCGCTCATAAGATTTGTGTAGTTATGTATGTTCAAAATACTTTATACATATATAATTTACATATCTAAATCTTTCTATGTACATGGTAAAAATAAAATCATAATGTATAAATGATTTACTAATACTGTTGAATGTATATATAATAATGTATTTAAAATATTTACATGTTGCCATTGTAAACATAAAGGTTTGTATATAGTTCAAATTGAACTTAAATTGCCTTTGGCAATGTGAGTAGACAATTGTTTTTCTTTGTTTCTCTAATTTATTCATTTCTAGATTTAATTTTACAATCCACCAGTGACATTCTGTGGAAAATATTTTCATGAGTCTTTACTGGCAGACTGATGGAAATACTAAACACTTTAATAAATATTACACGTTTCATTGTAGAATGAAATATTAGCTGATGATCAATACAAACCAAGGAAATGAAA
This sequence comes from Homo sapiens, assembly GCF_000001405.40. NCBI lineage: Eukaryota > Metazoa > Chordata > Mammalia > Primates > Hominidae > Homo > Homo sapiens. The sequence goes on from NC_000004.12 coordinate 132,265,098, forward strand.
TTAAATGCAATAGACACTTATGCATTAAAATACTTTCTAAAAATCATAAAATATAGATAAACTAATGCAAAACATATGATCATTTGGTTATAAATGGTTATTTGTTTACATTTTATACAGATGGTTCCCAAACTTGGATGCATATTATAACTATGTGGGGAGTCTTAAAAACTACTGATGCCTAGCCTGAACCTAGAGATTCTAATGGACTTGGTCTGGGGTATAATCTGTGTATATGAATTTTTTAAATGTTCCTTGATGTTTTCAATGTGGAGCCAGTGTAAAGAGCTGCTGAGTAGCATCTCCAGGGACGTTAAGAAATTTAACTTTTCAGTCTAATGTCAGTTTACAGCAATATTCCTCATGTGTCCAGATATTAAATTAAAAGTATAGTTTTCCTATAAATCCCTCTGTATTTTCACTAGTATTTTTCAACTGATAGACATTTAACATATTATTTGTATATGTATAGTCAGGTAATAAATTGTATCTTTTTAAAACTCATATGTAATGATATGCAAGTGCCTAAATTTCAATTTAACTTAAAATGACTCTGACTTTAAATAGTCTCTTGTATTTTAAATCCTAAACTTGCTTTCCCTTCATAGATGCAAAAGAGCCCTGGGGAATTTAAAGATGATTTCTTCAAATTCACATACACAAGTAGACCTATATGGAACATACACAAATAGACTTATATGGAATCTCTTTAATAAGGGCAAGTTATGACTTATTTGTGTTAAATTTTGAGTATTGTATCTTTATCTAGATTATGGAAAACATATTATCCACACATAGACACATGCATACACACTCACACATAAACATATGTATGTGTATAAAGGCATTAGCGGAAAATGTACGTTCATACTAAATAGGCAAAAGTATTTATGGGAGCATTTTATTTTTATCAGTAAGATAGTTTTTATTCAGTGAATACTTTATATAAACCTGATGCTTTTCTGTGAAGCATTTCTTTTAGCTCTAAAAGGAATGATATTATAAATGCTGAATAAAAAATGATATTTGGGGGTATTGTGTTTTAATATCATTATACCATATACATATTAGTTCTAAAAACAAATGCTTTCAAATATCCAATGTTTAACCATGCTAAAAATGATATCTCAACTGTTGCTACCAAATTTTTCTACTTTAGTATTTTCCATTAAAAGGAAAAAATGTATATTTTCTGTAAATAAAAGCTTGTTTAAGGCCAAAGAATTTTATTATCAACCTAAAATATACTGCAAGAAGGTCTTAAATATTATAAATAGCATTAATACTTTTTTTCTGTTGTTTGGTGGCATATGTTTGGCAAAGAGCGGTAGTAAAAGACTTTGAAGTGGGAATCTCCGTTTTCAGAGAGGAACTTTCGCAGGTGTTGAAGCTGTATGGGCCTCAGATGTTCTTAAAGATCTAAGACAACAGAATTTCTCTCCAAACCATTAAAGTTTGAAGAGCAACTGAACAGATGTTCATTGTTTCATTTAATATTTCAGACAGCTGCATAATGGCACTGTGTTGTGGTTTTTTTTTTTCACTCTTTAAGAACATTTAAAAACTAAACTTGGTTTAAGGTCACTTCTGATGACAGTTTGAACTGGTCTGACAGCTGTTTAAATGTTTTTGACATCTGCCTGGGAAGATGGACTTCCTGTCTTTCCTCTGCCTGAATTGATGCTACATGTTTTTTAAAAATAACTTTTGTTCTTTAACAAAGTCAAAAAATACATAAAGTAATATTTTAAAAGGTTGTATATTTGAGATGCATATATCTGTGTATATTCATTGCATCTGTAATTCACCACCCCCACACAAGACATATAACTCTTTCTCCCAGAAGTGACATAATATAAATGTCTCACATGTAATTAAAATTAAAAGAGTTTACTTCATTCATACTTTATGAGCAATAAAACATTATTGCTTATTAAAAAAAGAATTCCCAAATGTTTAGTGTCATTTCCCTGAAAGGTACAGCAGATGGCAGGCACAGGTATATTAAATGTAATCTCCGTAATAACCTTAAATATACTTGCAATTATTTGAGATTAGTCTGGGTATTTGCATGAAAGCACTGTGGGACACCCAGATTTGGTCTGGCTGAACTTTGCTTTTCCCCAAGGCTTATAGGTTTTGTTCAGGGAACTTAACGATTTCTTGGGTATGTTCAAATCCCCTGCATACCTGAGTGGGGAAACCTCTTGAGGTGTATATTTTATACCATATGACAGACAGGAAAGAAAAATCTGAGTGTTTTGAGTTCTTAACCTGATCTAAGGGAGCATCAGTACTGTGTTTGTCCTCTTTGGCCTCAGAGAAAGCAAAAAGAGTGAAAAAGCTAAATACGACAAAATGTGATGTAGCTAAGATATGCTTCTACAGTGTTGCTTCGAAGAGGTTGGAACTATATTCTTTTCAAGCTGTGCTTGACTGTAGCAACAGAGCTCAAAAAAGAACTACCATAAACAGCCTACTATTCATAGTGGTGAGGGTAAAAATAAATTAGCTGGCTTCTAAAAACCCAAGAACTATATGGATAAATTTTAACTGAAACTGTGCCCTTTTAGAAACTACCACTTGGTATACATATCTCAACACTAAGTTGTACATGATAAGTACTTACAATTTCATCTGTCAATTAAAACAACAATAATAATAAAACTACCACTAGCAAACAAAATAGATGAAAAAGCATAAATTTCTGTCACACTAAAATAGTTACTGGGATCTACTGTCATTCAAAATATATTACACTAAAAAGAAGACAGACATAATGTAAAAAAGCCAGACATAGTTTTATTATATTAATAGTTATTACCATCACAGTTTATGTCTCATTGCCTCTATTCTATAGAGAGAGTATCTAAATCTTCATTATTTTATTGAACCCATCTGAAGATCTCATGGATAGCAAGTCAAAGGGGATTCAAGTTCATATTTGGCTAATTCCAAAGAATATTTTCTTTCCACTATATTTTCTTACTTTCCTTAATATCAATACCTCATTGTTTAGCAGTCATTGCACTAATTAAGATTTTGTCATATTTTATTTATTGAGTAAAGTTCATTTTCAAAGTAAAAAGCACCAAATCTTATACAGGTTACACATGTAAAGAACCATAAGAACAATGTAGTCTAAATCATCCAATTTATGAGTGAACAAATTAAAGTCCAAGCCATATAATTAGTTGCAGTTAAAGAGGGAAAAGGTTAGTGTTTGTTTTTTTCAATATGATACATTTGTGAAATGTTAGAGAGTAAAATAAAACTCTAAGAAAAGTCACTCAGACTGAGAATTTAACAGGTTATATTGAAGTTCTCCATGTTTGGGAGGTCATTATAATTCTTAACAGTCTCACTTTTACAGTCAAGTCACAGTGATGACTCAATTTCTCTAGTTTTTGTATTAAGAAGAATTTGTTTTAAATAAAAGTTGTTTTCTTTCTTTGTTTTTCTTTTTTTAAAAAAACACCAAAAAAGGATGAATAAAATATTTTAAAAGTTTATTTTATTTATATTTAGCAATTATTTATTTAGCAACTAAAATGTGCCAAGTCCAATTCTTAGAGCTATGAATAAAAAGAAAAAGGATAACAGACAACTTTCCTATTCTTAAAGGACAGTTAAGAATGTTGCATGAGATAACAACTTAAGTAAACAAAACTAATTTAGCTTGTTTATATCGGCTATCAGATCAAACCAAATTTCATCTTCTTAAACAATATGATGAGTTTTAGATCATTTTGTTAATACATATTATAAATTCTGTTTATTTATTTATTTAGAGACAATCTCACTCTGTCACCCAGGCTGGAGTGCAGTGGCATGATCTCAGCTCACTGCAACCTCCACCTCCTGGGTTCAAGTGATTCTCATGCCTCAGCCACCCAAGTAGCTGGAATTACAGGTGTGTACCACCAAGCTCGGCTAATTTTTGTATTTTTAGTGGAGACGGGGTTTCACCATGTTGGCCAGGCTGGTCTTGAACACCTGACCAAGTGATCCACCTGCCTCGGCCTCCCAAAGTGCTGGGATTACAGGCATGAGCCACCACTACCGGCCTATAAGTTCTCAATAAAATAATAGGTAATCATGTCAGGCATTAGACCTGTGTTATATATTGGGTTCAAACACATTTTATGCTTTTTTTTTCCTGCTATGAGTTTTTAAATTATTTTACTTGTAAATACACACTATGTATCTCCAAAAAAGGGATAGTCCCTATAGCAGCTTCATGCAAATCAGAAAGATGTGCCCTGGTAGCTTGACAACTTGGTCTTAATCAAGAGGAGCATTTCAGCGCCCTGAGTCCAGAGGTTCTGGCTCTTCACACAAGTGCAGCCATGCTCTGGTCTACTCCCACATACATCAGGTATCGGGTCTGTCATTGATGCCTCTGGCAACAGAAACAATCCAAGCTTTCCCAATCTTAAGCTGAAGAAAAGGTATCTGGTTTGATATTAGCCAAAGGGAAATAAACACGACGTCTGATGTGACAAACTGGCAAAGAAAATGACCACAGCAGACAGTACATCAGCAGCATGGTCAAGACAGATGTATATGTCGGTTCCATTGAATGAATGCTTCCATGAAGCATTACTCTCAAGGGAGAAGTGTACTCTCAAGGATACTCAGGGTCTTGTGAGAAGGTGTTGGTTTATATAGGAGGGGGTTGCTCCTCTGTTGCTCTCTCCAGGAGGCCTGGAATCTCTCACCTGCCCATGCCAGATAATGTGCTGTTATATAGCTATGGAGTATACTGTGCTTTTTAACTGAGAACTTTTTGCATTGAACAACCTGAATAGCTATAATGGATATAATATAATGCTTCATAAACTCACCTAACTATATAAATTCTTCCTCCTCCAAAAAAACATTTTTGGGAGACTTCTACAGAGGTCAGTAAAATAGTTCAATATATTAATGTTTGTATTAAATTGGTATATTAAATTATATTAAATAAGTATACTAAATTCAGCTAATTTTAAAAGCACTTGATTTAATTGTTAAAGGTTAATTCAAACAGTGCAAATTAAAATTGGAAAAATCTACTAGTATGTACATACAAAGAAATAAAATTGTTAAAAATTATGCTGGAAACCGGAGTTACTATATAATCCAATCTACAATAATTTTTATGTACAACTTTTACAGTATTTAGTAGATATTTAAGTTACAGAGAGAAGTGATAATAGAACTGTTACCTTCAGTCAGAACATAGGACACTTTAATGTTATTTTGAGGACAATAGAATTCTATATATCACTGATAAAATTGACAATTTTTATAAATTAGCAAATTGTTCCCACATACCTCATATTTCAATATTGACATATTTCATTTGGTCGCTGTTTATTTTTGAAACAATATCAGAAGATATATTTTTAATCTTAGGAAACATTGTGTCAAAATCATGATATAAATGAATGTATTTTATTCATTGTTTAATACAAATCAGTTTGAAAAAAAAGACACAAATTATCAGCATCAGGATTAAAAGAGGTGGTATCAGTAAACCAGGCACTATCACCAATACAGTACAGACATTAAAGGATAAAAAAATACTGTAATTGGATTCATATAATAAATTTGAAAACAGATGAACTGGAGCCATTCCTTAAAGACAAATTACCAAAATCACTCAGAACAAGATATATAACCTGAACAGCCATGTATCTATTTAGAAATATTAAATTTGCAGTTTAAAAGCTTCCAAAAAAACCCTTTGGTTTTAGATGGTTCCACTGGTGACTTCTACTGGTTATTTAAGGGAAAAATGCTACTAACTCTTGGTAATTTCTTACAGAAAATAAAAGATGAACAAAACTTCCTTTAAGAAACACACATTTTATGAGACCAGTATTATACTCATGTCAAAACAAAAGATAATAAGAGGAAATAAAACTACAGTCCAACATTTCTCCAGAGCATAGATACAAAAATCTTCAGTAAAGTATTAGAAAATTGAATCCAGTAATATCTACCTATCTATATCTATATCCATATGTTTATCTATCTAAAGTGAGCAAACTTTTTAAAAATTCAGTATCTATGAATGTTGAAATAATCTAAGAAGCAAAATATTTTTCTCAGTTTGATACAGAACATCTAGAATAGGCATAGAGCTAACATGACATTTAGTGAAGATGATTCCGTGTTCTCCCCTTAGGGTGGGAAACTAAGCAATAAATTTGTGTCTATTGATATGATTACGGTTTTTTTATTATGTCTATTAATAAGGTGAATTTTATTGCTGGATTTTTGAGTGTGGATACAACCTTGCATTTCTTGAAAAATCTACTTGGTCCTGATGTATATTTGTGTGTGTGTGTGTGTGCATGGGTGTGTGTGTATGTGTAGGGGAGAGACAGAGACAGAGTGTGTGAGAGATGGATTTGATTTTCTAATACTTTCTTGAGAATGTCTGTGTTTACGTACAAGAGAGATGTTGGTTTTGTTTAGTGGTTTTGTTCTCTCAACACTTCTATTTTTTAGCAGCTCCTTGTGCTTCTTTATTTTCATTTTTTATTATTTTTGCTTATATTTGTGTATTCATAATAATCACCTCACCTGTTTTATATTATACTGGAAGTTTTAGAAATTATAACAAGGCAAGAGAAAGAAATACAATACATTCAGATTAGTGAGAAAGAAATAAAACTATCACCATTCACAAATGACATAATTGTATATGTAGAAAATTCCAGAGGATTGACGAAAAAAATCTCTTAGATATTGTAACTGGCTTTAGCAAGTTTAGAGTATAAAAACAATTACAAAAATGATATTTCTGATATAATAGGAATAAACAACAACTGAAATTTTAAAACACAACACTATCTACAGTAGCTCCTCCCAAAATGAAATGCTTAAGTATAAATCTTTTACAAAATGCGCACAATGTATATGTTGAAAACTAAAAAATGCTGATTAAAGATACCAAAGAAAACCTACATAAATGATGTGATGTGTTGTGTTCATAGTTTGGAAGATTTGACATAGTTAAGAGGTTAACATTTGCCAAGTGAATTGATCAATGAACTGTAATCCCAATGAAAACTCCAACAAGATTCTTTTTAGATATTGACAAGTTGATTCTAAAACTTATATGGAAAGTTAAAGAAACTGAAATAGTCAAACAATTTTGAAAAATAACAAAGTTGGGGAACTTACTCTTTCAGACTTTAAGAGATACTATAAATCTACAGTAGTCCAGGCAGTGTGGTATCAATGAAAGGTAAAACTATGGAATAAAAGAGCAGAAGATCTAGAAATAGATCCACACACATACTTTAATTGATTTTCAATAAATATTCAATAGTAATTCAATGGAAAAAGGATAGTCTTGTCAACACAAATGGGCCTGTAACAACCAGACACCCACAGTCAGGAGAAAATGAACCTACAACTAATAATTTAACAATTAACTCAAAACAGATCATTGACCTTAACATAAAGCATACAATTTCAAAACCCTTAGAAGAAAATACAGGAAAAAATACCTTTGTGACTTTGGATGAGGCAAAGAATTCATAGATATGACACCAAAAGAACAATATACAACAGACAAGCCTGTAAATTGTGCTTCATCAAAGTTAAAATGTTCTTGCTTTGTGAAGGGAACTGGTAAAAGGATAAAAAGAGAAGTTACAAACTGGGGGGAAATACTGCAAATTAAGTTTCAGAGAAAAGACTTGCATCTAGAATATATAAATTATTATAAAAATGCAAAAGTAAGAAAACTAGCAACCCCAACTTTATTTTTTTATTTTATTTTATTTTATTTTTATTTTTTGAGACGGAGTCTTGCTCTGTTGCCCAGGCTGGAGTGCAGTGGCACGATCTGGGCTCACTGCAAGCTCCACCTCCCAGGTTCACGCCATTGTCCTGCCTCAGCCTCCCGAGTAGCTGGGACTACAGGCGCCCGCCACCACGCCCGGCTAATTTTTTGTATTTTTAGTAGAGACAGGGTTTCACCATGTTAGCCAGGATGGTTTCAATCTCCTGACCTCGTGATCCACCCGCCTCAGCCTCCCAAAGTGCTGGGATTACAGGCGTGAGCCACGGCACCCGGCCAGTAACCCCAATTTTAAAACAGGCGAAAGATGGGAACGGACACTTCACCTAAGATGATAAATGGGAAGAAAATCAACAAATGAAAGAATGCTCATCAACATTAGTAACTAGAGAAATAAACACACATTATAATCTATTAGAATAACTAAACAAAACAAGACAACATAAAAAACTAGCAAGGATGTAGAAAAAGAGAAACACTCCTACATTGTTGATGAGAATGCAAGATGATGTAGTTTTTCTAAAAAATAGTATTAAAGTTTCTTATAAACTTAAAAATACTTATTGAAGCACCTGGGAATTGCATTTCTTGGGGGAATTTTCCCTAGAAATTTATGTTCATAGGCTTATGTTTGAACCGATGTTTCATGTATAAATTATATTATCCATAAATTTAAAAAAATCTAGACATAAAGTTTATAGTGGCTATTCATGATTGCCAGAATTTAGAAACAATCTGCCTGCTTCTTAATGGGTAAATGGATATACAAACTGTGTTACATCACTCAATGGAATATTGCTTAGTTACAACATGAAAAATTCTCAAATGCATTATGCTAAGTGAAAGAAGCAGACTCAACCCATGGCGTACTGCATAGTTCTACATAGCGTATACCACTCTATGGCTGACATACTGAAAAAGGCAAAAATGTAGGAAAAGCATGAGAAATTATTTAGGGCACTTGAATTGTTTGTATACTGCCTGTGGTTGTGGTTATAGGAATCTATTCACTTACAAAACATAAATAATGGTACATCAGAAAAGTGAATATTGCAGTGAATGTAAATTAAAATAATAATAGTAACCAATTATTTTATAGCACATGGGATAAAGTTAGAATAATATCAATGGACATTATTTTTTCAGAATTAAATATATTTCTCCTTGCTAAGCATATTTTATAAAAAACACATTTTTCAATATAGTTAATACACTAATTATTGCTCTATAAGAGGATGTTAACCTAGATAAATGTCTGGCTTTATTTAACGCAGTTACAAACTAAGAATCCATTACTTGCCTTACTGTGTTCTAAAATTCTTTCTGTCAAGTTAAATGATTCTTAAGAGAATGAAATTATTTGTCACAGATATTTCAGAAAATATTTTGAAAACTCATAGTAATAGATGAGGCAGCAGATAATAAAAGTTTTCTTCATCTAATGGTGGCCAAATCAATACAAACTTGAGGTCACTACAGTCAGTATTAAGAGCTGATTCAGAAAGACAACTACTTACCACCATAAGTAGAATTCAGACAGCTGTGTCATGATTCTACAGATGTTCAAAGCCATTTATAGAAGTTATATTCACACCTATAAATGAGAAAAGTGAACTCTACACCCTGAGATTTGGAGCATTACATGGAGAGAAACTGCTGTACAGCAACTTCTGATTTATAAAAGGGGATTTGGATGTAAAACTATAGTATGTATTTTAGATAAGTCTTTCCAACTTACCTAAAACTTCTCTAAAAAAACTAAATCATGTTCACATTTTATGTCCTATATTTATTCATAGAAAGCTTCTTTAAATTAATTTACTAATTTATTGAAAATAATCAAGAAATAATTGAAAAAGTGTTTCTTTTATATTGTATACATTCAATCTCAAGGACTTTCAATGATTTTAACATTCAATGATTTAACATTTTAACATTTTAAATATGAAAATTATTTAATTAAAAATAGCACAAATTAATATTTCTTTTCCCAGCTTGACAATCTTGGAACCTTGATTAATTTTTAGGGTGCTAGCATTATTTCATCAACTTCTTTTTTGAATGATATCCTTATTTAACCAAATTGTGAAGGAATACTTTAAAGAAATTATTTATCTCCCACTTCTATCAAATTTACATTAGAAATGTAGTAACTGGATTTGAAATTCTTTCTCATCTTGTCAAATCCAAAATACACAGAAAATCTGCTTAGTGTTTTTAATGTACATAAATAATTGCATTATATAGTTACAAGTTTCTATATAAGAACCAAAGGGTGGCAGCTGGAGGTGTCAGTCATGTATAAATATTTGCCAGTTACAGAGCGTGTCCTATGGTTCACAAATTTTAATATTTAATCTATACAAAAAACTTGTAAGCTAAATGGTATTGTCTGTATTTTATAAATAAAGAAACTTTAATTTGGAGAAAAAAGATTCTAAAGAAAGCTATCAGGAATGGATATTAGTTACCAATAATGTCCTTTTGCCACCATTCCTGTTCATTTGTAAAACTAATAAATAAATCACCTATTATAACTAATATTAAATAACTCTCCAAAAATTACCTCTACAAAAATATAGATAGCTCATTTGGAAATTAATCAAAATTACATAATATAACTTGTTCAAAAATGTGACCATTTTACATTTAAATTTAAAATACCATTTTTAAAGAACTCAAACCAATGTTTCTTACAAAATTATAATGATTTCTACTATATGTAATCAACACACACACACACACACACACACACACACATATTTACTGTACCTGGAAGCTTACATTGTAATACCCTAAAGGGGGAAAAAATCATCTTGCAGAGATTCTGAAGTAGCTAGACTAGAGGAAATTAATTTGTTATTCCTTGCCTTTGTTTGAGAGAGGAAAAGCACCAGCAACAGCATAGTATATTGTGAAAATAACAAATAAAAATGTTAATTTATGAGATATTGAAGAGGTAAAGTAAATAGAACTCTTGACTCATTACCTGTTTGGGACGATTAAGAGAGGTGAGTCAGGATGACCACCAGGTTTCAAGCTTGAAACCTGAATGATAGGCCATATTTTGTATTTAACAATTAGGGAAGTACAGTAGAAGACAGTCTAGATGAAGAGTTCAGGCTAGCATCAGAAGTAAAATTTAGTCTTAGTGGAATATTCATTGTTCCATTTGTTATATTATTTCCATAGAAATATCATCCATATGCATTCTATATCATTTTGTATCTGTGAATCCAAATTGACTCTAATTAAAATGAAATAGTTGAAAAACAATAGCTCTTAAACTTTAACTTTTTAAGTCAAGATTTTAGAGTTTCCTGCCTTCCAGCTCTGAAGAGAGCAGCTGATTCTGACAAGGGCAATTCTCCCAGCATAGCACACCAGCTCTGCAAAGGGACAAGCTGCCTCCTCAAGTGGGTGCTTGACCCCTGTGCCTCCTAATTGGGAGAGACCTCTCAACAGGGGTTGACAGGCACCTCAAACAGGAGAGCTCCGGCGGGCATAAGGCTGGTGCCCCTCTGGGATAAAGCTTCTAGAGGAAGGAGCAGGCAACAATCTTTGCTGTTCTGCAGCCACCACTGGTGATACCCAGGCAAAGAGGGTCTGGAGCGGACCTCCAACAAACTGCAGCAGACATGAAGAAGAGGGGTCTGACTGTTAAAAGAAAAACTGACGAACAGAAAGCAACAAAAACAACATCAACAGAAAAGAACCCCACACAAAAACCCCATCCAAAGGTCATCAGCCTCAAAGATCAAAGGTAGATAAATACACGATAATGAGTGTAAAAAGGCTGAAAATTCCAAAAGCCAGAACCCCTCTTCCCCAAATGATCACAACATCTCTCCAGCAAGGATGCAAAACTGGATGGAGAATGAGATTGAGGAATTGATAGAAGTAGGCAACAGAAGGTGGGTAATAACAAACTCCTCTGATCTAAAGGAGCATGTTCTAACCCAATGCAATGAAGCTAAGAACCTTGATAAAAGGTTATAGGAAGTGCTAATTAGAATAATCAGTTTAGAAAGGAACATAAATGAATGGATGAAGCTAAAAAACACAGCACGAGAACTTTGTAAAGCATACATAAGTATCAATAGCTGAATCAATCAAGGGAGAGTCAGGATATCCAATATTGAAGACCTCCTTGCTGAAATAAGGCATGAAGACAAGATTAGAGAAAAAAGAATGAAAAGGAACGAACTAATTATTTTTGATACTTAATTCTTTACACACTTAGAAATCACCCTTTTATAATATCAGGAAGTCGTGAACAATTTTTCTAAAATTTTAATCTCCTAAATGAACTTTTTCTTCCTTTCTTTCTTCTCCCCTCCCCTCCCCTCCCCTTCCCTCCTCTTCCCTTCTTCCCCCTCCCCTCCTCTCTCCTCCCTTCTCCTCCTCTCCCCTTCTCTTCCCTTGCCTTCTTCCTTCCTTCTTCCCTTCCCTTCTCTCTTTCTTTCCTCTTTTTCTTAAATCTATTTAATGTGTACAACATGATATTTTGATATATATACACACAGTGAAATGATTGTTACAGTCACCAAAATTAATGTATTTATCATCCCACACCATTAGCATTTTTGTGCACATGTTGTAAGAGCACCTAAAATCTACTCTGTTAGTAAATTTCCAGTATATATTAAAATATTACTAACTATATTCTTCGTGTCCTACAGTAGGTCTCTAGATTTATTCATTATAAATATCTGCAACTTTGTACCCTTTGGCCTACATCTCTCCATTCCTCACTTACCTCCCAACTTCCATTCTACTCTCTTGTTTTCTTACTAGTTTCCCTGTTTCCATCGTTTTCTTCCCAGATAGTCAATACTCAAAGGCTGACAGAGTAATTTTTGCAAATTATAAATCAAACCATGTCTAAAACTTATTAATTTTAGTGGCTTTCTATTACATTGAAAATAAAAGCCAAGCTTTATACCATGGCCCTAGATGATGTGACTTTTGTCTGAATTTCCTACTTCATTAAGTTATTTGTGGACAAATAAGTTACCAGTTCACTATTGGACATCCAATATTTCATTTGGCTTTTTAAAATTTCTTGAATTGAATCCAGAGTGATTTTGTTTAATGCTTATAACTTGTTATTTTAAAGTTGTGTATTTATTCCAAATTCCAGATCTAACTGATGTGTGCAATACTTCTAACATCTCTAGACGTAATTATTCCTTTCTTGGCTCTGGTTACTGTTGGTATTTTAAATAGCCTACTACTACTGTCGGTTGTTTTCCCCTAGGTTAATTGTGCTACTTTCAATACTCTTTCCAGTTTATAATTTCCTATTGTGACATATTTTTAATCAGTCCCCAATGAATTTGCACTATTTTTGTAATTATAATAAGTTCTCTATTACTGACTTTGTATACATCTTATTACATTTGTTACAATACATTAAAGCAGGGTTTCCAGAAGATCCCCCCCAAATTGAAATCCATCACATATCAATTATGCTTTGTGGTAGACACTTATAAATATCCTGTGGGTCATATAATAAAAAAAACTCCTAACAAGTGAAACTTAATTGTTAACAACAGAGTGAGAGACAATCTTCCAAAGGCTCTGTGTGTTCTTACTAGTAACCTGAGAATGCAATGTCTCACTATTCTTTATATGGGCCATTTCTGAGGATTGCCTTTGCATATGTAATCTCAATTTAATACATCCCACCAGACAAATAGCAGGATTACAATAAAAGCAGTAGATTACCTCAGCTCACAGCACTTCCATCCTCTAGTGTAACCCACTGTGTATGCAGTCACCCATCTCAGCCACCTGGGTTGCCCCTTTGGGATGGGGGAACATGGAGAAACAGCATGAACAGGAAACTCTTGCCATGACTTTTGCAATAAGTAGTAAAGTTATTTGTCTTCAATCCAAGAATCGTGTGTCTTCTGTCAGCATCCACAGACGCTAACAGACTGGTTTTCTAGCTTAGCAAATATGGTAAAATCCCAGACTTTAAACAGTTCTATATAATAATGGATAATGTTTGTTATAAAAATGAGACTTAACTGTTGAAAATTTGGATAAACATTTATAGCTAATGCAATTTTCCCAAGGGATATATTTACTGAAACAAAAAATTTATTAGTTGTTACTAATCCAAAATTTAAACAGGAAAACATTAATATGTTATTAAGCAGGTATCTTCAGAAATTACTAAAAGCAGTAAAAATACAATTGTACAAAAAGTTAAATTTCACGGAATTATGTTAATGTGTCATCAATTGCAAAAAAGATGGTTTCAATTATTTTCTTTGAATCTTAAAAAGTACCTTTAATTAGTGAAGCAAAATCTGAATTCGGAATTATGTAAGGCTTGTACAGATGGTGAAATTCATGAATGGAAATGATAATTAACACTTTGTGTGGAAACGGTTATTTTTATTGTTCTAATCTGTAAAATCAGATACTTCTACAGGATAGTGACTGTTTCAATATTTATAATCATTTCCTTTTTTTCCCCAGGCAAAATATTGGTAAAATGTTAAGCAAGTAAATCTTTCTTTTCCTGAAGGTTCATGAATATTAAATAGATGAAGACTTAGGAGATTCAAGTTTTCAAACTTCTAGAACTAAATTAGAGATTCCATAAAAAGCATTCTAATGAGGGATTTTTTATTGTAATAAAATAATCTGTTCTCTTTACTAGCGTCTTATTTTATTTTTAATAATAATTGTTCATTTTCAAAATAAATAAAAATGTAATGGAGAATATTAAAATGATCTATAATTCCAATACAATAATCACTTTGAGATTAAACATAAATAGCCGTAAAAATAATGCCTGTACAAGGGGAGAGTAGTCAGTCAATTCGTTAAACTATAGAACAAAAATGAATGTCACCCACAGCTTTTTAAACTCATTTATACTTCTCTTTTTGTGTTTCAAAAACATTTTGTTGCTTATCTTTATGAAAAATTGTCTTATTTACTTCATTATTTTCATAATGTAGTTTCCATGTCTGCCTTAGATTTATACTACTTCATTAATTTTAACATTTCCAGAGTAATTAGCTGTATGAATGTAACAAAATTTAAAAATTTGTCTTCTATTAATTAATACTTTGTTGGTCTTAGTCCCTGATATAGTTTCGATATTTTGTCCTCTCCAAATCTCATGTTGAAATGTGATCCCCAGTGTTTGGTGGGAGGTGTCTGTGTCATGAAGGCAGATCCCTCATGAATGGCTTGGTGCACTCCCCATGGTAATGAGTTCTTGCTCTGTTTGTTCAAGTAAGATTTGTTTGTTTCAAAGAAATCTTGGCACCTCCTCCTCTCTCTCTCACCCCCCCTCACCATATGACACACCAGCTCTCCCTTTGCCTTCCACTATCATGGAAAGCTTTTGAGGACTCACCAGAAGCAGATACTGGTGCCATGCTTGTACAGTCTGTGGAACCACAAGCCAAAATAAACCTCTTTTATTATAGATTGCCTGCCCTCAGGTATTCTTTCATAGCAACGCAGAATGGACGAATACAGTCTCCACCCCCACTTGCCATATAAACTGTACTTTAATGAATATCTTCTTACATACATAAGTGTACTTTATTATTATTTTTATTTTTTTATTTTTTTTGAGACAGAGTCTCGCTCTGTCACCCATGCTGGAGTGTAGTGGCATGATCTCAGCCCACTGCAACCTCCACTTCCCAGGTTCAAGAGATTCTCCTGCCTCAGCCTCCCAGGTACCTGGGATTACAGGCACCCACCAAGACACCTGGCAAATTTTTGTATTTTCAGTAGAGACAGGGTTTCACCATGTTGGCCAGACTGGTCTCAAACTCCTGACCTCAGGTGATCTGCCTGCCTCAGACTCCCAAAGTGCTGGGATTACAGGCATGAGCCACTGGACCTGGCCCAGTTGTACTTTTAAAAATACATTAATCACTGAAGTGATATTGTTGAGTAGAGACTGTATTTTTAGTTTCCTAAAAATGTGAACAATTTATACTTTCATTTACATGGGAATTTCTATCTTAGCAGAAGTAATGAAAAAATTCATATTAGCAAATTTATGTACATTTCTTGATTTTTACATTATTAAAGCATATTGGGCCTATTTATTATTCTACTAAAATAATGAAATGACTAACAAATGTAAAGGATTTTTAACATATATAACAATAGCTAGTGTAGGAAAGTTAAAGCAACCAGAATTCTTTGTAAAATCTATGTAATTGACTTTTCAGTAGCTAGAGTATTTCATAAGAATATAAAATACAATCATTGTTTTGGTGTGATCTAGTGTCCTAAAAATGATGACATTGTTAATGAAACTACATTAGAATATATGTAAAATGAACCTAAAATATATTAAATCCATGAACATTACTATAGATATATAATTATTTTCCAACATAGCATTCTGAAATAGCTAATTCAGGTTTCACTTTTATTTCTACTAATAGCTATTTATTCTATAAGTGTCTTTGCCCAAATAACTTGAACACTTACAGACATTCACGTTATATCCCTGAAATGTGAAATATCATAAAATATTTACTTTTATTTTAAAATTTTATATGTATGCATACTACTGTTACAAAGCTATATTTACCTTATATTTTCTGTCTCTTTTAACTTACTGTATTTTTATTTTTATATGGTTAATATTTTGAGTAGAAATAACGTTCTCTTTTGTTAAGTCTATATGAATATATCAACATTATAATATCTTAAAATCAGCCAACTGGCCCAAGTTAATACATATCACATTCCAGTAACCAAAACCAAAAATTTTATAATTATTTTCTTCCTTCAGGAGATAAAACAGTACTTGCTTTTATAATACTATTTTGATTGCTAGAAAACCTAAGTGTCTGTAATATCATAAGAGGAATTTTACTAGCAAAATAGCATCTTAAATATTTAAATATGCATACGGACATTATTTGATATTCTCTTTAAATGTAGAGTAACAGAAGGGCTGCTGGAACAGGGAGTTAGACACAGAGCTTGCCGATGAATATCAGACTGTGCCAGTTCTGCATAAGATTGTGCCTGCTGAGTGAATGGTTCTGGCTTTCACACACTCCATAACTGAACTTCTAAAACGATCACATTACTGTGCATATAGTGAGCTCTGTGGATGCTTACAGATATCTGAAAACTGTTTATCTGTGCCTGAAGAAGAAAATAGATCTTTTTGTTAAAATTTCCATCCCATGGAACATTAAATCGGCATTTGAATCAGGGTGCACCTACTTCAAATGTATGTATAATAAAATATTTAAATCTGCTTTAAAATTTCCAAATGACAACAATGTGAAAATTATAAAGATGTTTTAGATCAATAACATGGTTATATTAAATGGGATAGTTAAAATTATGTGGGGCAGAAATGAACACCTTTGAAACGTTGGTTGTGTATCTGTATGTGTGCACTGTATATGAACATTTGCTCAGAGACATATTTAAAGCAGTTTTTAAAAATTATTTCATTTATAATTTATACATTGCAATCCCTGTCTTTAGCTAACCTTGTCCTAGTTATCGATAGTTTTCTGTTGTTGCCCATATCAACAGGCAAAGAGACTCAAAGAACTATAAACACTAAGCAGTCTTTTTTTTTAATTCCCATAATGAACAATTCAATCCAAAAATAAAATATAAACAATAATTGCCTTTAGGAATTCAATTTAGGCAGCTCCTAGTTTTGTTTTCACAGAAGATAGACGTTTAAAACTTTTTAAAAAACAAGATCACCAGAGCTATCCAGTATGAATTACAATGTTTCAGTGCTCTGGTCTGTTCATAGGCTTGCAAGCACCCACTTGGTTCATCACACAAAGTAATATGATCATGTTAAAAGTTCAGTTTTTTGGTTTGGTAAGCACAAACTTGAATAGCTTTCTAAAAAGTAAAAAGATATTTATGAATATATATTAAATCATCTTTTATAGTTTACAAGAGCACAGAAGTATTTTCTTCTTTGATTTTTCTTAAATAATTACATTAAGTAGCAAGTATTTAAGAGTATGGAAATTAAAACCAAGCAGAAAGGAATTAAATTTTACTGAAAGGTTCTAACTTGTTTTGCTTACACTTACCTAAGCTAAGCTAATTCTACTTATTTCCATCTCTTGCGAGTTAATTGGTTTGCTTGTAATCTCAAAAAAAAAAATAAAACTCATAAAATCAAAAGATACTCTCTCCACTGAAAAGTTATGTAAAGTATGGGAAAACTGAACACACAACATTAATACTAGTAAGCAATTAATTGCCTTGCATATTTTAAATGCTAGAACTAAAATAATATTTGGATTTGACAAAATGATAAAATATAATAACAATGATTTTTAAAAGCTTTTGTTTTTAAATCCTTTCTATATTCTAGGCACTTATCTCCCTGGCTTTTCTTTCAGAAAGCTGAAACATTTTTAGAATACCATCCTAAGGGCAGTGAAAAGGTGGGTGTTTGAGGATTGTGGGGATGTTTGTGTATGCATGTATGTTAGAAAGAGAAATACAGAAATGTTAATGCAGGTTTGTTAGAAAGTTTCTCTCGAAAAAGGAAGGAGACAACTGGATATATGCGGGCTTCACATCTGTGCAGATTGAATATTTTGCTGTTAAGCTAGGGAGGTAAGTGCCTTGAATATAGAAATGACTTAAAAATGAAAGCTTTTTAAAATGATTGTTATTACTTTTGTCATTTTATAAAATCCAAATATTATTTTAGTTCTAGTATTTCAAATGTTTAAGGCAATTAATTGCTTGTTGCTCTTAGCATTGTGGGTTCAGTTTCCCCATACTTTATCTTTTCAGTGGAAAGAGTATCTTTCAATTTTATAAGGTTTGTAAAGTTTTTACTAGATTGGGATGAGATTTATTCTGACTTTTTTACAAGACCAATTAATACTGCAGTGTTTCTCAGTTTTTGGAGTAATATTGATTACTGATACACATGTTTAAAGCAATTTGAAAATAAAAACAACTGTATTGTGAATCTTATCTCTTCCAGTATCACAAAAAGCAGTATCTTTTGAGGCAGGGAGTATATGTCTTTCAATCATCTGTTTACAAATAAATAAACTGATACTCACTGACATAAATAACAAGAAGTGATCCTACACCTTTCTGTGATTTCACAGTATGAAAAAGCATCAGAATCTCAATGATCCTTGGTACAGAAAGGAAAAGGAAAGAATGAGAAATTTTTTGTTTCTTTTCTTTTGATTGTACTATTTTCTTTAGTAATGACCCCTGTGCCTTTGGAAAACTTAGAAAAACACAAATCTCTTATGTACTAGTATATCTCCACACAGTAGATACTTATTGAGCACCTCTACATGATCTAAGCTAAGCATTAGAGATGCAAAGATAAATATGGCATAAGTTTATCCTCACTGTATATACTTTTATACTCAAACTTTGTATTTCAGTTACATTTCAGTTAGAATTGTAAGTATAAGCTTGTTCTTCACAAATGGAAAAACACATGTATTAACAGAAATACAGGATAATTAAAACACTAGTTGATAGAAGCATGTAAAGGTAATGAAGACTAGAAGAATACTAGCTTCAAGTCAAGAGAAATAATATCAATATGGCAAAGAGTCTTGATGCTGGACATAAAAACTTAGTGAGAGAGGAGGAAGGAAGGAACTGGTGAGGCATGCAGTGAGGGTGGGCCCTTGGTAGAACTCCCTCAAACCAAGAACAGCCTGAAAACCAAGCTGCAGGCCCCAGAGAAGAAAAAGCTTGTGTCTCTGAAAGGAAATGCCCTCTCTGTGAGCCCAGGTGGACAAATTCCACTCTTTTTTGGGTGGCTTTCTCTCCCTTCAGCACACCTTTGTCCCATTTCACACGCTTCCTCCTGTTGGTGCTTACCTTTCACCTATTTTATATATACTTATCTTTCTGTGATTGGCCGTAGGCTGAGTCTTTATTTGCATGGACTGAAACATCACTCCAACTCCTGACTGATTGCTGGTCAAGCCTTCACTTCTGCCTCTAATTGGCTTTTTACACTCTCATGTCTTTTTCTGAATGGTGTTTTTCCAAAACAACCCACAGACTGGTCAGCACATTCTTCCTCATTTCCAGTCCATAAAACTCCCAAACTTAGCCCTGCAGCAGGCAACTCTCTTTTGGGCTCCTTCTCTGCTGAGAGCTTTTTCTGTTGCTTAAGAAATCCTACTCTGCCTTTACTCACTCTCTGGTGGCCATGTGCCTTATTCTTCTTGGTTGTGGGACAAGAACCCAGAACTCATTGAACTGCAGAGTACAGGAACTGTAGTGCTTCAGCTCCTGGAGCTGCAACCAGCAGGAGTAAAAGAACTGTAACACTTCCTCCCACTCACCAAACTATGGAAGTAAAGAAGCCACTGGGCACCACTTCCTCCCACTCACTGAACAGCGGAAGTAGGAAAGCCACAGCATTAATATATAACATCAAAATTAATTGCCTTTTAGAAAAAAAAAGTTTTTAAAGAAATATGAAGCAAAGGAAGATGATATAGGGAATACTTTTTTAATTGAATGATAGAAATTTTCTCCAAGAGGGTGCAAAAGGTAAAAATGGAAGTTAATTAAATAAAAAGTAAGTGTATTAAGGAAAATTAATGAAAAGCAAATGTATTTATTTACAATTATATTTATAATGCCACTTTGTTTTTGTATTTGAGGGAAACTATTATGATAGCCTGTTCAAAATCAGAAGGGATTACAACATCTGATCAGGGGCATTCAACAGGAAAAGAGGAACAGAGATCAATTTAAAAAAAAATATGCTTTCCCTCGATTTTTTGAATGCAAATGTAGACAACAAGATAAAGTTTCTCATGGGGGCCTGTTGTTGAATTTATATTTCCAAACACTCAATTCTAACTTTATCAAACCTGTATTTGAGATTCTAATTTTTATGTAAGTCAATCACGTATATATGCTAACTTCGCCGACTCATTCCTTGTTCTTAGTCTGATTCTAGTTTAACCCAGGCTCATTATTCAAACATACATGCCAAGCCTTCTTTATTTTATTAAAACTATTTTCTGGTATACAGACTACACAACTTTTAAAAACTTTAATCTTTTTCTTCTGTTAGTAATAAGACACACTTTTACCAACTACCACGTTTGTTCTAACTTATTTTTCTAGACATGTTAACAGTCTTAGCTGTTTACGACCATCATTATCAATCCTGGCTTTACTTGAGCATCAAGTAAAGACACAGCTCTTTTAATCAAGATTCTGATCCAGTGGCCCTGTGGGAGTCTCTGGTCATCTGAATTTCTTTTCAAGTCTTTATTGTGATTCCACTGCACAGTTAGATTAGAGAAACACTAGTGGGTGGTTATTAATATTCCATAAGCAGCAATTTACCTGAAAGCAGGCACGTTCATTTGTGATTCCCTAGAATATAAACATTTAATTACTTTGTTATTTTCTTAAGTGACAACAATGCTACACCTTAGCAGCAAAAATTAACTCTTCAGAGGTTATAAAATGCTGTTCTACGTTTAATAATTGTCAACCTGGTCCAGGTATCTCACAGTAAGACATGGACAGTACCAATCATCACTGAGGTATTTTTCCTTTACCTGAAGTGGTTAATGATTCCTTCCTTGTTTCCTATAACCCCACTGAGTAGTTTGGGCTTTTCCACAAAGTTTGTGAGAAAAAAGAGAAACCCTGGAGGGGTCTGTGATTATTTGGATATTCTTTCTGGGTTTCACTGGGGGAGTCAGCCTCAGTTCTGCTGTAGGTCACCAATTTTTGCTTCAGGTGAAGATGCAACATCAGATCTAGTGTTATTAATAAAAAAGATGATACTTTAATTTTGATTTCCTTATCATAAGTGGGTTATGGCCACGAACTGTGGAACCAGACTGTGTCTATTCAAATTTCAACTCTGACACTAGCTGCATGAACTTGGTAGGTCACAATATTTATCTTTTCTTTACCTCAGCTTCTTTAACTGTCGAATGGGGATAATTTAGCTCCTGTGTCATAGAAGTATGTGAGGATTATATGATTTAAGTAATTTAAAGTGATTAGAATGATTTTTGACACATAGTATTCAGAAAGATTTTGCCCTTGCTATTGTTGTTGTTGTTATTATATTATTATTATTACAGGGAAAAATGTGTGCCTGACTGGCTTTTCATAAACCTCCCCACCTAAAAGAAATGCCAATTTAGTAGATTTCCATAATAGAAATATTGAGTAAAACAGAATGCTCCTCAATGTATTACTATATTCTCTGGCTCTAAGTAAGCAAGCCAATTGAGTCATCATATCAAAATCTGAAGGTTACTTTTGAAACAATTCAGAATGAGATGAGTTAGCTATATAATTAACAATATAAATGTATCTGTTCCAAAAGTAAGAGTTTATAATTTAAACTCTTTAAATTATACTCCCCAGTGTACGCATTTATTCAACAAATGTTTAACATCTACTGTAATATTATGTGATAGGGATATAATTGTATGCACAATTGTTATGGTTTAGCCTTTAAGAGTCTAGAGGGGGAAATAAGCAATTAGATTGTTAGTAAGCCTATCAGATATTCTAATGTGTAGCAATTTAGGTTTCTGTGAGAGCACAGTGTAGAGACATCCACCTAGATATGTGGAGCACAGAGGAAATGCAGTGTCCAGGATTGCTTTCCACAGGGAAAAGAAGGAAAAAAAATAAAACAAAAGGATCTGATCTCATGAAGTGTATTCATGAGATGTGTAAAACGTACGTGCCTAAGATCAATGACTGTGTCATCACAGAAGAGCTGAAAGAAGTCTAATATGGCTGGAGCAAATAACTGGGGAAGGAGTGGGGTTGGGAGAGTTATTAGGTTAATGCAAACGTGATTGTGGTTTTTGGCATTGAAAGCAATTACCTTTGCACCAACCTTGTAGCAAGTGAGTAGCTGGGCAGAAGATAGCAAAGAGAAGCCCCTTGAATGATTTTAAAACTTTGGACATATTCTTAAAAGTAACATTCTGAGGCTGGGCATGGTGGCTTATGCCTGTAATCCCAGCACTTTGGGATGCTGAGGTGGGAGGATACTTTGAGCCCAGAAGTTCAAGGCTGCAGTGAGTCATGATTGTACCATTTCATTCCAGCCTGAGTGACAGAGTGAGACCCTGTTAACAAGCAAACAAAAAGCAACAAACAAACAAACAAAAAGTAACATTCTGCTTTGAAAATTTCTAAGAGTTATCTCTGACTGCTAGGCTTTTGTCTTCTTTTCTAGCCTCTTGTTTATCATTTGAGTCCAATATAGTCATTGTTTACTCATAAAAACAACAAAAAAAAATAGTTTTCTGTTGCTTGCAATCAAGAAACCTGGCTAATAAAGTTACCCAGCAAAAGTGTATCAAGTGAGAAAGAAAAAGTCCCCAGTTAAATCTCTGGAAGGAGCAACAGGTAATAGTAAAACATGAAGATATGAAGATACTACACAAGAGACTAAAGTGAACAGTCCAGAATGATGGTGGTATTTTGATGGGAACTGCATTGAATTTGTAGATTGCTTTTGGAAGTATGGTCATTTTCACAATATTGATTCTACCCATCCATGACCATAGGATGGGCTTCCATTTATTTGTTTCATCTATGATTTCTTTTGGCAGTATTCTGTAGTTTTCCTCATAGAGGTCTTTCACCTTCTTGGTTAGGAATATTTCTAAGTATTTATTTTATTTTATTTTATCTTATTTTATTTTTGCAGCTATTGTAAAAGGGGTTGAGTTCTTGATTTGATTCTCAGCTTGGTCACTGCTGGTGTATGGCAGAGCTACTGATTTGTGTACATTCATTTTGTATCCTGAGGTCGGGCGCAGTGGCTCACGCCTGTAATCCAAGCACTTTGGTAGGTGGAGGTGGGCAGATCACGAGAGCAGGAGATCCAGACCGTCCTAGCTAACACGGTGAAACCCCGTCTCTACTAAAAATACAAAAACAAAATTAGCCTGGTGTGGTGGCGGGCGCTTGTAGTCCCAGCTACTGGGGAGGCTGAGGCGGGAGAATGGCGTGAACCCGGGAGGTGGAGCTTGCAGTGAGCTGAGATGGCGCTACTGCACTCCAGTCTGGGTGACAGAGCGAGACTCTGTCTCATAAAAAAAAAAAAAAAAAAAAAGAAATGTATCCTGAAACTTTGCTGAATTCATTTATCAGTTCTGGGAGCTTTTCGGAGGACTTGTTAGGGTTTTCTAGGTATACGATTATATCATCAGCAAACACCAAGAGTATGACTTCCTCTTTGCTGATTTGGATGCCCTTGATCCCTTTCTTTTGTCTGATTGCTTATGGTTAGGACTTCTAGTACTATGTTGAATAGAAGTGGTGAGAGTGGGCATCCTTGTCTAGTTCTTAGGGGGAATGCTTTCAATTTTCCCTGTTCAGTATTATGTTGGCTGTGGCTTTGTCATAGATGACTGTTATTATATTAAGGTATGTCCCTGCTATGCTGATTTTGCTGAGAGTTTTAATCATAAAGGAATGCTGAATTTTGTCAAATGATTTTTCTATTGAGATGATCATATAATTTTTTATTTTAATTCTGTTTATGTGGTGTATCAGATTTATTAATTTGCATATGTTGAATCATTCCTGTATCCCTGGTATGAAACCAACTTGATCATGGTGGATTATTTTTTTCATATGTTGTTGGATTTGGTTAGCTAATATTTTGTTAAAAAATTTGCATCTATATTCATCAGAGATATTGATCTGTAGTTTTCTTTTATTGTTATGTCCTTCCCTGGTTTTGGTATTAGGGTAATATGGGCTTCACAGGGAGGATTCCCTCTTTATCTTATGAAATATAGTCAACAGGATTTGTACAAATTCTTCTTTGAATGTCGGATAGAATTTCAGCTGTGAATACATCTGATCCTGGACTATTTTTGTTGCAATTTTTTATTACCATTTAAATCTCACTGCTTGTTATTGGTCTGTTCAGAGTTTCTATTTCTTTGAGGTTTAATCTAGGAAGGTTGCATATTTCCAGGAATTTATCCAAATCCTCTAGGCTTTCTAGTTTGTGTGTGTAAAGAAAAAAATATGAATAGATAATTCTCAAAAGAAGATATACAAATGGCCAACAAGCATATGAAAAAATGATGAGCATCACTAATGAGAAGGGAAATGCAAATCAGAACCACAATGTGATACCACCTCACTCCTCCAAGAGTGGCCATGGTCAAAAAATCAAAAAATAATAGATGTTGGTATGGATGTGATGAAAAGAGAACTCTTTTACACTGCTGGTGGAAATGTAATCTAGTACAACCACTAGGAAAAAAAGGTGTGGAGATTCCTTAAAAACTAAAAGTAGAACTACCATTTGATCCAGCAATGCCACTACTGGGTATCTGCCCAGTGAAAAAGAAGTTATTATACAAAAAAGATACTTGCACAACCATGTTTATAGCAGCACAACTAGCAATTGCAAAAATAAGGAAACTGCCCAAATGCCAATCAATCAGTGATTGGAAAATAAATGTGATATAAAAAACATATATATAATAAAATACTACTCAGTCATACAAAGGAACAAAATAATGACTTTCACAGCAACTTGGATGGAATTGGAGACCGTTATTCTAAGTGAAATAACTCAGGAATGAAAAACTAAACATCATATGTTCTCACTCATAAGTGGCAGTTAAGCTATGTGGTTCCAAAGGCATAATAATGACACAATAAACTTTGGGAACTCTGGAGAAATGGTGGGATGGGGGTGAGGGATAAAAGATGACACATTAGGTACAATGTGCCTGCTCGAGTGATGGGTGCACCAAAATTCCAGAAATAACCACTCAAGAACTTATTCATATAACCAAACATCACCTGTTCCCCAAACACCTATTAAAATAAAAAAAAAATTCTCAAAATAATTCTCAAAAGAAGATATACAAGTGTTGCATATTTTCAAAAAATGTTGAGCATTTTTGTATGTTTGTTGGCTATTTGTGTATCTTCTTTTGAGAATAGAAACTCAATATCTACCATGCCTAATTATTACAAGCTGATAAAATGTATGTGGCATACTATATATATATATATACACACACACACATATATATATATATAATATGACTCCATCACAGATAAAAAATAAATAAAGTGAACAGTCCAGAGATTGGAAGAGAACACTGGGGAGCTGTTAACTCAAGTATCAAGAAAGAAGAAGGTTTTTAAAAGGCCAATGTGTTCAGCTGTGTGAATGCATCCTAGAAATTAAATAAGGATAGGTATATAGGGGCCAGGAGAATATTAATGATTTGCATTGTATTTAAAGATAATGAGCACAGAAGTAATCTGAGTAGGCTGAAAAGTACTTGGAGGAAAAGAATTAGAAATAATGTCATGGGAACCTCATCTAATTGTTAAATAACATCTATATGTCATATTCTAATTTTTCTAACAATTTCCAATACCACTCCAAAATTTTACACATTTAATTTCAACTTCCTGTTTTATTTATTTATACCTTAAAATTAACTATTCAATAATGAACTCAACACCTTCCATGACAAATCTATGTTACACTAATGTTTTCCCCATTTTGGTTGATTAAAACGCTATCTAACTTCCCGGTCAGAGGAAAGCATTAGAGGCATTCCTGATTCTTCTTTTCTTTCATTTATAACACCCAATCAATGCACAAATACTGTTTGTTCTGTCTTCAAGATAATTCCAGAATCCGACCACTTCTCTTCACCTGATTGTTTTGACCATTAGCTCTGGCAACTATATGTATGGACATGATTGCCCAAAGCCTTCCTTTTTTGACTCTCTTATTCTATCATTGCTTCATCATCATAAAAGGTGATCAATCACGTAACTTCTCTGCTCAGGAACTCCTATTTCATTCAAAGTGAAAGCCAAATACCCTGCAAGTATTCAAAGTAAAAGCCAAATACATACCCATCAGGTAATGAAGGCGCACAAGGCCCTGCAATACCTGGTTCAGATTTTACCCTGCTCATTTTTTCCTAGCCTCATGATTCATTCCAGCCTATACATTCTGCTTACCTTGTTGTGCTCCAAGTCTCTAACCATATTCTTGCTTTCTGCTTTTTTCAGGTGGTTCTCTATGCCTAGAATATTCTTCCTAAAGATAACAACACAACTAAATTCCTCATTTCCTAGAAATCCTTACTCAAATATGGTATATTTATAAGCCTATTGTGATTCCTTATTGCAAATTGCAACCTGCTTTCATCACATATCCAATTTCTTACCTTCTGTTGTACTTTGAACAATCTAATATAATATGTAATTGTTTATTTTTAATGTTTAGTTTCATCCACTAGAATATATTTGTATGTTTTTATCTATGTTATTAAGTGATAAGTGTCAAGGACTTACAACAGTTAGTAGAAGCAAAGTAAAAGCTCAGTATCTATTGATTTTAATGTAAATTTTTTCCCAAGAAGGATCCATAAAGAAAAGAGAAAGTTCAGTAGTATATGCAGAGAACATGGGTTTGACAGTTTGAAATTTTGTTTTGTTTTCACTTAATTGGGGCATAAATGCATGTATAATTGCTGAGGAGTCAGTAAAAATGAATATATTCAAATAATAGAGGAGAGAAAGCAAAGATAGTCAATATATTTTTCTATTTGTTTCTTTACCTATACTCTAATCTTATCATATTTATGTTCCATGTGATTTTACAGAAATACAGTAAAAATAATGATAGATTTTCTACTTAATGCATCATAACTTATTGAAATTAATTTCAGAATGTTACTTCTAGTTTTAGGTATTTCCAAATTTTTAAATCATACCTTTACCAAATATAAATTTACTCTTATAACTATAAAATCATATCTGCCTTTTATAGATTTCAATATTTAATCCTCAGAAAGTAACCTCATTTCTCTTACTTTCAATTTCTTAGAAATAAATTACAGTCACATTCATGTATCAAACCATTCAAAATAAATGATAATTACATTGCCACATTCTACATTTAAAAATAAAATTCTATGATTTATAACCATCAAAAGAGATGTCAGCATTGGTAGCAACTATTTTTGTTAAACATATACCTAATCCTATTTATGTGAATTAAGTAAATAGAAAATATTTTCTATCAACTATCAGAATAAAATACTAAAATAAGGTCTTATTTATAATTTGAGAGGAGATGGTACACAATATATACTTATATTGTATTAAAGACACAGATTATGTTCTAAACATAGAATAGTAGTTGCCTAATGTATATCTTCCCTAGGAAAAATAAATATAATCAGCACAACATATGCCAAAAGGTAATTTCAACATCTGTCTCACAGAGAAATGAATCAGGACAAATGAACTATACAGTATAGGATCATGTGTACATTTTTAAGTGGCGTTTAGAATGTCTAATAAATATATAATTTTTTTCTGTATACAATATTATTATTTAATTTTTATTTCTTTAAACCATGTTTAAAACTACATTTGCCTTTATAAGAAATGATATATGTTCAATATTATTTTTTATATAATAATGTCAGTTTGATCTTTAAAGCCTCATCTTTTATCTGCACATAATGTGTTCTGTTGTAAAGATAGTCTTATTTATTTTCAATCTAACTGAAATGTAGGTCACTGGCCTCTTCTAATAGCACACGTTTTTCTGATGAATGATAAACTTTTTATTTTTCTTCTTGTTATAAGATTCTTTCTCCTTTTCTTTCTTCTTTCTGTAACTGAATGGTGAGCCAAAGGACATATTCATCTTGAATGCTAAGATTTTCTGCACCCTCAGGAAGTGTAAAGTATGAATGTGATGCAAACTCTGCAGCAAGTTCACCCACTGGCAAATACACATTAACTTCTTACTGTTATTTTCAATAAGTGAAATTCACAGTTATGGGTACAAAACAAATACAATTTATGCAAGCTTGACCAATCTTATTAAAATTGAAGTCTTATACTTTTTGGTATACTTAATTTTGGAAAAGACCTTTTTAAAATACTAAAACAGCTTTCCACAAACTGTATGTATTTTTTTTTTCCCGTGGCAAGGAACTACAGAATTTTAGTCAATTGATCTGAAAGTTCTTATTGGAGATATATTTTTGCCATGGTCAAACTTGAAGTGTTGAAAAATTTTATGGCTTAATTAAACTAACCTGCTTGAGATTGTGTTGAAAACTGCCAGACACAGTGGTGGTATAGCTTTTAGATGCAATACTACAGCAAGAAACGATTAATTTATAACAGCATTATTAAACTTTTAATGCTTCCAGCCTGCATGAAATGCTTAATTCAATTAGATTTTTATATGTTATGTTTTCTTTTTCTACAATAAGCTTCTCTATGATGCTCCTTGATCTATTTACTTTATTCTTGAAGGTCAAAAGGAATTTATGTATTCATCAATTTAACCTATAGATATTTAGTGAGTTTTTAATGTAATTTTTATCCATTTCTTGTTCCTAGGGATCAAATAAGATGTTGTGTCTGTCCTGAAAATCTACTTGGGGAAACATTCATATAAAAAATTAGTTGTAATCAAGATGATAGATCCAATAATAGGACTATAGAAAATTGTAGAAATTTAGCTGCTGAGACTGCTGCCTCTTGATCAGTGTTTTAAGAAGCTGCTGGGAAGATGCAAAACCCAAAATTAGTCTTAGGAGACGTTTAGGGACTGGACAAACCAGCATAATAGTTTTTAGTAATATAGAGGTATCCTAAGGTATCCTATATATGCCGTCAGGGACTCCTTGTCTGCCTTTTCTTCCTCTTTTGTCTCCCTGGTGAGGCACCAAACTACCCAATATCCCAGAAAGGGATGTCAAAAAGCGAGTAGGAGGAAAATATCAGCATTTTTCATTGTTTATTCTGCACTTTTAGTTTTCAGGAGAGTTTTCATTTATTCAGTAGAGCAAATAATGTATTTTTATATTAACTAATCTGAGTATTTGCCATGCAAGCCTCCACCCCTAACCCCATCTCCAATGCTTAGACCATGTTTGAGTGAAAGGGAAGGGGCAGAAATATCCTGTTAATGGGAAAGACCCAACTGAAGAGCATCTTGGCTTTAGTCCTGTCACTATACCTGATGCTTAGACTTCCCACCTGAAAGGAGAAGATGAAATGGAATACTTCTCACTAATAATTCACTTTAGAATATTATAAACAAAATTAAGTTAATATAGAAGGTGTGCGTGAAAGTAATAAGTAGCAGTAAAGAAGAGTAAATCTATATATGCAAAAATAAAAAATCTATACATTTTCCACTTTTAAGAGTTTATTTTCTACTTTACTGCTTTCTTTTCTTTTTTAAGACTTGTTCATGCTATTTAACAGGTCCTACAAAAAATATATACACTTCACAGTCACTCTTAATAAAATGATTACTCATTTTCCTAAAACTTTTTTCAACTACCTTAATTGTCAATTTGTTGCTCTTAACATTTTCCTGCCTCAGAAAATTTAATAAACTGGATTAATGTAAAACACATGTTGAAATATCAAGTGTAGGTAGGGGTTGACTTATTCCCATTCTAAGGATAATATTAAGGAGTAAATTTTTTAAAGAATAGTATTACTTTTGATATTTATTCAGAGATTCAACTTTTTTGTTAGTCTTACTTTGCTTGTTAAATTTGAGTTTATTTGTTTATTTTAAAGCTGGTGATGCCTAGAGAAAAAAGAAAAACAAAAACAAACTAACCCCAGAGCTAACAGAAGAAGAGAAACAACTGAAATCAGAGCAGAACTGAATGAAATTAAGGCCCAAAAATCCATACAAAGAATCAACAACCAAAAAGTACAAAACTAAGTTTTCTGAAAGGATAAACAAACTTGATAGACTTCTAGCCAGATTAACAAAGAAAGAAAAAGAGAGAAAATCCAAATACACGCATTCAGAAATGGCAAAGATGACAGTACAACTGATTGTACAGAAATACAAAAGATCCTATGAGACTATTATGACTATGCACACAAACTAAAAATTCTAGAGGAAATTGATAAATTCCTGGAAACAGATAATTTCCCAAGATTGAATAAAGAAGAAATTTAAACCCAGAACAAAGCAATATCAAGTTCCAAAATTAAATTAGTAATAAAAAATTTAACTTACAAACCAAAAAATCCATCAGATGAGACAGATTCACAGCCGAAGTCTACTAGATGTATAAAGAAGTACTGGTACCAATCCTACTGAAACTATTCTAAAAAGTCAAGGAAAAGGGACTCCTCCTTAACTCAAAATACAAAGCCAGCATCACCCTTATACCAAAACCTGGCAAAAACACAACAAAAAGAAAACTGCAGGCCAATATCTCCAATGAACATAGATGCAAATATCCACAACAAAATACTAACAAACTGAATCAAGAAACACATCAAAAAGTTAATTTATCATGATTAATTCAGCTTAATTCCTGGGATGCAAGGTTGATTCACCATATGCAAATTCAATAACTGATTTACCACATAAACAGGATTAAAAAGAAAAAAAATGATTATTTCAATAGAGGCAGGAAAAGCTTTCTGTAAAATCCAACATCCTTTCATTATAAAAATCATCAAGAAACTAGGCATTGAAGAAGCATTAAGAGCCATTTATGACAAACCCACATCCAACATGACACTGAATGGGCAAAAACTGGAAACATTCCCCTTGAGAACTGGAATAAAACAGGAATGCCCACTCTTATCACGCCTACTCAGCATAATATAAGAAGTCCCGTACAATTGCCAGAGCAGTCGGGCAAGAGAAAGAAATAAAGGACATTCAAATAGGAAAATAAGTCAAACTCTTTGCTGGTGTATGATTCTATACCTAGAAAATGCTGAAGATGCCACCAAAAGGCCCTTGGAAATGATAAAAGACTTCAGTAAAGTATCAGGAACAAATCAATGTAGAAAAATCAGTAGCACTTCTGTATACCAGTAACGTTTAAGCTGAGAGCTAAATTAAGAACATAATTCCACTTAAAATAGCCACAAAAAATGAAAATACTTAGGAATATATTTAATCAGAAAGATGAAAGATCTCTACAGGGAGCACTGCAAAACACTGCTGAAAGAAATAACAGATGACACAAACAAATGTAAAAACAAGGCCACACTGCTCAAAGTATTCTACAGATTCAATGCTATTCCTATCAAATTATCAAGGAAATTTTTCATAGACCTAGATTAAACTATTCTAAAATTAATCTGAAACCAAAAAGTCTGAATAGTCAACGTAGTCATAAGAACAAAAAAGCTGGAGGCAATTTATTACTCAACTTCAAAGTATACAAGTCTTCAGTAAACAAAATAGCATAGTACTGATACAAATACAGACACACAGACCAATAAAACAGAATTGAGACCCAGAAATAAAGCTGTACACCTACAGCAATGTGATGTTCAACAAAGTTGACAAAAATAAGCAATGGGAAAAGACTTCGTATTCAATAAATGGTGTTAAGACAGCTGGCTAGCCATATACAGAAGAATGAAACTGGACTCTTTCCTTTCACTGTATATAAAAAATAACTCAAGATGAATTAAATACTTAAATGTAAGACCTCAAAATATGAGAATCCTAGAAGAAAACCTGTGAAACAGCATTCTGGACATCAGCTGTGGGAAAGAATTTATGACAAACTCCTCAGAAGAAATTGCAACAAAAACCAACAATTCACAAGTGGGACCTAATTAAACTAAGGAGCTGTTGCATAGCAACAGAGTAAACAGGAAATCTACAGAATGGGAGAAAATATTCACAAACTGAATGCATGCATCCGACAGAGGTCTAATATCTCAAACCTATAAGGAACTTAAACAAATCAGTAAGCCATAATACAAATAACTCCATTAAAAAGTAGGCAAAAGACATGAAGAGATTCTTCTCATAAGAAGACATACAAGCAGCTAAGAAACAAAAAAATGTCCCACATCACTGATCAGCAGAGAAATGCAAGTCAAAATCACAGTAAGATACCATCTAACACCAATAAAAATGGCTGTTACTAAAATGTCAAAAAAAAAAAAAACAAAAAAAAACAGATGCTGGTGAGCCACTGAGGAAGAAGTATGGAGATTCCTCAAAAAAACTTAGAGCTACCATTTGGTCCAGCAATCCTGTTACTGGATGTGTTTTCAAAAGGAAATAAATAGTTCAACCAGACACCTGAACTTTTATGTTCATTACAGCACTATACACAATAGCAAAGTCATGGACTCAACCTAGGTGCCCATCAATGGGGGAAATGAATAAAGAAATGCGGTACATATACACCATAGGATACTATAGAACAATAAAAACGAATGAAATCATGCTTTTTGCGGCAATGTGGATGCAACTGGAGGCCATTATCCTAAGTGAATTAACGCAGGAACAGAAAACCAAATACCATATAATCTGACATAAACTGGAGCTGAACAATGCATGCTCACAAACATAAAGATGGCAACAATAGAAACCTGGGGACTACTAGAGGGGAGGTGGGGACAAGGATTTAAAAAATTAACAATTGGATACTATATTCAGTACCTGGGTGACAAGATTAACTGTATCCCAAAGCTTTGCATCACTCAATATGCCCAGGTAACAAACCTGCATATGTACCCCTTTTAGTCTGAAATAAGAATTGAAATTATTAGAAAATAAATAAAGCTGGTGATGAAGCATGAACCATATTTTAAACATATAGATTTTTATCATTTATTACATACACACCCAATTTTATAATTACCATTGAGATTAGTATTTTCTCAACTCATCATTTTATTCAGAATACATCCATTCTTTTCATAATTCAGTAAAGATGTATCGAAAGTCTAGTATGAACAAGATAAAATGGTCACTTCAGTAAGGACATTTATTTTGAAGTATGTTTACTCTTATCCATGCCTAATAATTCTCTCCAAAAGGTCGTTATAGCTTTTAATACACAATCTTCATAAGAAAGTTTTACATTTAAATTCAAGTTTAACAACGTAAAAAATTTATTTATGTTTACTGTATTTTGAACATTTATTAGAAACAAAGAGACCATGGTTATATTCTATGCTTTAGTACCAGCATATACTTTTAAAATGTTAATGTTTATCAAATACTAATTTAAATACAAAACAGTGAGAATAAAAAACATCTTTGCTGTATAAATTCATAAATTACTTCAGCTGAAAGTCTTTTTGAAACAATATCCAAATATTATTTAACTGTTAATACTGATAACATTGTATGCCTTTTTTATTTATCATTAAGATGTATCTGTTGGTAAGATAATATATTTTGCAATGATGGTTTATATATTTATGGTATTGTACTTTTGAAAACTATAAAGCTATTTATATCATAGACAATATTAATGTATAGTGTAATTAATGTATAATGTTATATTACATTACAATTAGTAACCTCTGATATTTTTATCAATAGCATCTAATATATAAGGTGTAATGATATTATTTTTAAGTTTATATGTGCATAATCTATATAATATCTATGAATTATATACTATACATGAGATACTCAGGGGCTATTTTCATTTGAATTTCATGAAATAATTAGTTGTAAGAATTAACTAAGCAAGAGTGAGACTAAAAGTGATACGTGGATATAAACATTGAAAAGAATAAGTTCAGTGTATACAGATGTTTTTACATTCCTGTTTGCTGTGATTATACAAAGTAGCTCTTAAATATTGTGTAAAATTAATTTAATCCCATACAGTAGGCTTAGTCAATCTTGAGCATATTGCTGTCATTTTTCATGGTGTATAATTTACAGATACACTTACATAAAAATGATCAAATACTTGTTAAATGTATGTTATGCAATGTTCATTTAAAGTATTACGCTTATACTGTACTCATTTTTATTTTTGAACAAAATTTTGTTTCACAGTACATTAATTTCTATTATGTATTTTTGTACTTTCTCATTAACACACTTTCACTATTTCAATAAACAAAACTAAACATGGTATTAGCTCTTTGTCTGTATGCTTCAGTAATTTCACCAAACAGCTGGAAGGCATATGCATGACTGTCGTAGACTATTGTTTTAATCATGTTTATTGCTTACAGTGTGTTTAAATTCTTATTACTTTGAACAACAGTGTTTATGTCTATAAATTGATTAATGGATTATAATCTTAACATGAAATGGTGAAATCTACAGCTGGCTAAGTAGTGTGTTTTCTTCCAAATTACTTAAATTACAAATGTCAAGCACATTGCATTCACCATTTAACAGGAGAAGTAGCTTGCCAAGAAGTCCTTTTATTATTAGCTATTCTCAACATTGGTACAGCTGTTGGAAATCTAGCTATCCATTTCAAACAAGTCATATTATGAAATACAGTTTCCAAATATACAAAGTGTGTCTAAAAAAGCATTCCAAACTTCAAGTGATATATATGTTTTAACATTTTTTCATTAGCAATAATTGAAGAAGTTAACTTAGATTTATACTTAACTGTTTAAGAATGTTCACCGTGATTTTGAATAAAAGGAAGATCCTATGTTGAATAGTGATTGAAAACATTACATAACTAATTTATGAGTTATGCAAATTATAACATAATTTGATAATGGGTATTGAAAAACTTTATTATTTGTAGTACTAAAACCATCTGTCCTTTGTTATTGTCATTTCATATTACGTAAAAATTTAGATGTTACTAAAAATGTCTCTATTATCTTAGTAATCCCATATTTTGTTAAAATAATACTAATAAATGTATGTAATTTTTGTCTTCTTTTGTTCTTATAATTCAGAGACTTTTCTACTTACAGTAATTTGTAAAAAAATGGATAGAATATAGTAACTTTCTTTCCTTTACATGCCTGCAGTCATATTCTGGTCATATTCTGGTGGTGGGAGAAATTATTAAAGGTCTTAATTGATTTACTAGTTAGAATGAAAAGTTCATTTATAATTCCTAACAGGACATCTAATTATTTTATCATAGACTTCATAGTGTATTATTGACCTGTAAACATTAAGAATTACATGATTAGAGAAGAGTGTTTACAAAGAAGTATACACTGCATAATCTGACATCAACAATGCAAGATGACTTCAATATATGATTTTGAGGAGGTATAAGTAAATCTTAACTCACAAAAGACATACATACATTATTTTTTTTTTGTCATTTTTACATGCATACATTATGTCTTTTGTCATTATTTATGTATTACTATGCATTTTTATATCAATATTAGAATACAAAATGACAACTCAATTTTCGTTTTAATTATTAAAAATGTAGCCAGTACCAGTAAATTAATATATTAAACAATGCTTGTTCTCACGCTTTATATATAGATAGCCTTGAGGCTTTCTCCACTTTCTACTAGTTTTAGAAATATCCCTTGCTCTTGTAGTATCCTGAGACACTTCTTCCATGAATTTCTAATTCTCCTTCTTACCTTTGTTCTGTTCTCACACCAGTTCTTATATTTTTTACCTTTGAATATGTTGCTAAATGACTTTCTTCTGAGTAATTCTTTCAATTTTGTAAATGTTTTTATAGTCCGAAGAAAACAATAAATTCATGATAATAATTGAATACTCACCAAGAAGAAGTTGAATCATAAGAGAAAAAAAGATTTAATTTAGATAAGATATTGATAATTTTCTTAGGCTCTGGGTTTCATGACCATCGTTTTGAGAAGAAAGAAATTCATCATTAATTTCCAAGGAGATAAACAAACATTACAGATATTCAGAGTGCTTTCATATATATAGATACATATATATATATATATACTCTTCTTTGTAATAATAGCACAACTAAAAAATTTGTTGATTTTTATGAACCCAGACATACAAGTAGATCAGAACAAATGCAAAAGTTTTTGTAAATTCGAATGCTAAATTTGGAAATACAAGAATAAATAATACTGAATACAATAAGGATCAAATATCAGATAATTGATCTGTAAAGGGAGTAGCTCTAAAATAGGAATAAATTGAAAAAAAGTCCTTTTACATAAAATCTTTAGCAATATAATCAGATGAAGAGGCGCATGTTTATTTTCTTTATTTTTCTCTTTCTTTTTTTTTTTTTTATCTTGCCCTATTTTTCTATTCTCTTTCTGCAGCACTTCCTTCTTCTCATATTCAAATTTGAGTTAGGGATAATAGGTCATTTAGAAAAAAAAATTACAGACTGTTAAGTTTAGTATCAAGTCAAATACAAAACTCTTCAGATTTTTCTCCTTCTAATTATTTGAAACATCTTTATATTTTCATATTTTTCTTCTGTATTATACCTTCTAAATTTTAAACATATCAAAATATAATTTGATAGCTATTTTGCAAGAATGTAAGTGTATTAACTGCAGGAAGCTTAATAATGTTGTGCACTCTGATGAATGTCTTGAAAAAATATGTTAGAGAAAAATGTTGTAATGCCTACATTGGTATTTTACAAAATAATATTTAAATATGTATTTGTTTACAATTTTGTTTTAGTGCAAATGTATCTAGATATTACATTGAAGGATGGTGAATTTGTAGGATGTTCTAGACTTACTTGTTCTAATAGATCTAATATACTTATAGCTCAAGGTCAGATTCAAGAGTTAAATTACTTAATATTCAGTTAGAAAACAATTAGACAAATTATATGTACTGTTACCAGTATCTATGTTCTTAAAATTTTCACATTAGTAAAATCCAAATGGTATTTTGAGAAGCCACAAAAATTGTAATTATTCTTTTCATGTCAGGAAAGATTGTGAAATCTATTAAGAAGTGTTTTCAGAACAGCATTAACTTTGTGGGACAGAGGGAGATATACCAGAAATCTATAACAACAGATATAATTGCTTAAACTAACACTATTGTACTCATTATAAAGGAGAAATCAGTGGGAATAATACGTTTATACAAACAGTAACAATTTTTAGAAGAGGCTATTTTAAGTATTCAATTGGGATCATTGTAATGTGTTTTACTATGACTAACTGGTATCTCTAGTTTGGTCATTATTTAATATCCCCAGTTAGTTCCTGCTAATATTTCTTTTCCAGAATACTTAAATCTGGAAAAAAGAGCAGCATCAATAAAAATGGCTTAAATTACAAATAGGAGAGTTTAGTTATTCAGGCATCTAAGAAGAAATTCAAAGGTATAAGAAGCATCAAATGAGGTTGTTTCCCCATGGGCTGCACTATGTCATTGAGGATCCACATTATTTCCTTCACTCCATTTTCTTGTTTATAACATCAATATAATTATGAGTGTTTTCCATGATGTTCACCAAGTGGCTATCAGTAGCAATTAAGACTATATTCTGTTCCTTTCACATTCCTTGAAAAATTTCTCACCCTGAAGACCTAGAAAATCTTCTTAGAAGCCTATTGCATACCTCTTACAATTTCACAGGAAGAACTGGATTTTCTGCTCATTTATATGAATCAGTTATGAGAAAAGTTAAGAAGTCTACTCTTGAGTTATGGAGATGACCCTGACATGACAGTTTATGGACTGCAATGGGGGAAGGAGACACATGAATTAAAGGGTTTGTTTAGGAAGGCAGATCAGTGGAATGTATGCTGTTTAAGAAAATAAAAATGTTTCACATTTTCTAAAAAGAGCTCTGATTTTACTATTTTAACATTCTAAAAACTTCAAAGTCTCCAGTTGTCTAATTTTAACAAAGTCTACCCCCTTAACATATATGCTAGTTTTAGATTACTTTCATTAACAGATTGCCATAAATTAGCAGCATATAAAACAAAAATTTATTATCTACAGTTCTGTACATCAGCAGCCCAGTGTGAGTCTTGCAGACAAAAATCAGGATATTTACAAGGCTGTATTCTTCTCTAGGGATCTAGGGGAAAATAAATTTCCCTGCTTCTTTAGGATATTGGCAGATTTCAGTTCCTTGAAGTTGTGGGACTCGAGGTCTCTATGTCATGGGTGGCTGTCAGGTGAGAGTTATTGCTGGCTTCTAGATACCACCTACATGCCTTGGCTCGGCTCATGGATCCTTCCTTCATCTTCAAAGCCAGTGTACCAAATCAAGAGTCCCTCCCTGTCACACTTCAAATCTTTCCTGCATCTTGCTCAGTCATCAAATTTTCTCTCATTGCAGGTTCTCCCTGGAAAGAATTTGTGTGATTAAATTGATCTAGCTAGATAATCTAGTATAATCTACCCACCTTAAGACCTGAATCCTTAATTGTATCTGCACATCTCTTATGTTATGTAAAGTAATATATTAACAGGTTCCAGGGATTGGGACATGGATATAAAGAAGGCAAGTGCCACGATAATACCACACATGATATTCAGGATATAGCACAGTAATTTAATATTCAGCAAAGTTTCTGGAGTTTTGTTTTTCTCCTGTGCAAAATGTGTTTCACTGCCACAACTTCTCAGTAGCCTGAAAATTATTTCCTGACTTCAAACATCCCCCTCACCATTATCTGAATTTACTTTCAAGTCCTGATGGTGCGAGTTCCCTTTAAATCAATGCCAAGTAGATATCTGCTCTAAAACATTAAATTACATCAAATTATCTAAGTGCTATATTTTAACTTGTGTCTTTTTTTCTAACCATCCACAAATTACTAAAATCTGAGAAACGAAGGCTTAGAAAACAAAAATTAATTTTAATAATATGCAAAATAAAGGAGTTAAAAAATGTTTCAATATGAAGTTTCAATATAATATTAGGGAAAATAATAGAAGTAAAAATGCCCCTGACTCTAAGTGAAAGTAGGAAAGGAATCAGAACACTGACAGGACTTTGTTTAAAAATTTATTAGCTCTTTTATGAAAAAGAAAACAAGGATTCAATCTATTTAACCTGCCCTTTCTGTCAAAATGCTTAGCATTATAAATAGGTATATTATTCAAAATGTCTTTTACCAAAAAAAAGAAACGTTTAAATGTAAAAATATTTCTACATTTGAAATTAAAATTCAGAAAATAGTCACCCACTAATTTTTCTTTCTGATAGCACAATAAAAAGAAAAAAAAAGAGTTGGTGATATTCAAAGACAAGTAAATATCTTCTACATGTATTATCCTTGGACTCCCGCTCAAGTTACGCTGCCTGTTTGTTCACAGGTGAAAAAGTCTTATAACGTGTTTAGTGGAGAGATTACTCTCTATTTGATTAAGAACAAGAAATGAGAATCCATTGCTTTCTTTATGGACTCACTTATCTATAGGAAGCAATGTAATGAATTTATGAACTATTTTTTAAAAAACGTTGAATTACTTCTCAGGCTTGAAAATAGTATTTTTGTCATTCTCCTGTATAACAAGATGCAAGATCTGCTTTTCCACCATATACAGTCTAGATTTCTGATTACCAAGATATATTCTTACTCACACTCTTTCTTACAACATGATTAGCTAGTATATTCACACACACAGTTGAGCTTTAGACTTAAAAAATCTGCTGATTTCCCACTACCAATAGGATAAATTAATTAAATCTAAACATATCATGCCTTCACAATCACCAAACCACATATCCAAATTCATTTGCCTTTCATGTTTCTAAACTCTAACCATAAATAACTTTTTATATCTAGCTGATCATTTGGAAATTTTAAAATTTAAATGCCTTTATTCATAGTATTTATTCTGCCCTAAGATGCCTTTCTTCTAGTTTCCTACATGATGTTTAAAATTATACTATCCTCTTAATATCATGCTCAACTAATTTCACATCCCTTAAGGAAGCATGGCAGAGTAGAAAAATGACACGTGGGCCTTGGGTTTAATTTGAATTTGGTTGAACAAATTTTGCCTTTCTCTAGGTATATGACATTTGGGAAAATTAAATCACATACTCTAGGAATTATTTCTTATCTGTAAAAATAAGAATGATAATACATTACATATAGTTTTAATAAGTTTTCCTCAAGTAAGGTATTAAGCACTTGGCTCAATGTTTGACTTGATAGCAAAGAAATATTCTCTTTTTCTTGTTCTTGATAAGAATGGATTTGAAAGTTTATAAAATACTTGGACATGCTGCCCAAGAAGAAAGTCATAAAGGTTGGTCCTTTTTCTCCCTCAACATTGCATGCATAAAATCCCGGTCTTTTTTTTTTAATCCCATGGGTCACTCATCTAGAGTGCTACATTCTGCAATTGCAATCAACATTCCTCTTTATTTGCATAATGGCCCCACCAATAAGGGCAACACAATCATTCTTCCTCTGTTTTACTCAGATGTCCTTCTTGATGTAAGTTCACCAATGTATTTAATTATAAATTAATCTATAAATAACCCATTCTATATTAAATTGCAGATTAAAAAGAGAGAATAAAATAAATTGGTAAAAGTGATGAAAAATACAAGAATGAAAATTCTGATGATAATGTAAAATAGAAACAGTAAAAGAGAGAACAGAACACAGAGAGAGCATGACAGTGTACTGAAAAGAGAGTATGCATGAAGGGGAGGGAGTGAGGGAGAGAAAGAGTGAGAAAGGAAAAAGGGAAGCAAGCATTAAAGTATGGAACACTACTTGAGATTTTATTTGCTATTCATCATAAATAGATATAATATGTTTATAATTTTCTTCCTCTATTTCCACTATACTTCAAATATTCTCAGAACCTTAGATGTGGAGGTATTATTTGTCTCCCTTTTAGAATAATTCAAGCATTATTCCTGAATGGTCTGAAGCTTGGTGGTCCTGTCTGTATTTGACTGCGATTATTTATCATTGTATTCTGCATCCCAGGGGACCTCCTGGGTTCCATACATATACTCCTTACTTCCCCAACTGGAGCAACATTATTTCACTTTAATACTACTACTAGAAGTAAACATGTATGTATCACTTATTATGTAACAGGTACTTTTCAAAGAGCTTTGGAAATTTAACTATTAGTAATCAAATTGTATAGATGAGAAAATTGTGAAATAAATATTAGGTAACTTTGCTCATGGTTATACAGCTAGAAATTAAACCCATGCAGTTCAGCTACAGAGTTCATGATAACCACTTTTTATTCTGCTTTGTCACCTGAGGCTTAATTACACTAGGCACTATTTTAACTTTTTGGCTATTGGCTCACTGGTAGGAGAAGTCAAAATGAACAGGTCTACCACATTTGGAGACATTTGTTCAATAGATAGTAAGACCTCTTAGACAACAGATCTCGAAGTGACAAAGTTAGAGAACCGGCACACTTAAAAGAAAGTTACTTGTGTACGTTGCTACTTAGACTCTTATATTCAGGCTATAGAAGATTAATAACACTTTATAAAGGCCAATGGTTCAGAATATGCTGCATCTTGCAGGCCAAAATTCGAATATCCCAAGATCATGGTCTCAGCTAACACAGAAAAACAAAAAGGTCCTCAGTAAGCTATTCTATTATTCTACTAAGGTACTACTTTGAAGTCAGTTAAAAGGTATTGCATAACGTTTATCATTATGTACTCAGCAAATGTGTTAATGTGACTGAAACTCATGAATAATAGCCTAGTACCTCATTTTTACTTGTTTTAGTTCTTTGTTTAGAAACAAAATTAATGGGATACCTTTAGTATCAATATAGCACTCGGTAAGAATTTTTTTTTTTAGTGTTGATATAGCACTTGGTAAGAATTTTTTTTTCTGACAGAAATATATTGTCTAGGGAAAGGAAATCATTATCCAGAATATGTGTCATTCCAGTGAAGGCAAATTGTTTTCCCTTACCATGATAAACGTGGTTCGGGAAAATCAACCTTTCTCCTTGTAGCTAGTTCTTCTAAGGTAGACCACCATACGGGTTCTTCTATGTTGGGCACCATATTGGTCTCTGCTGCTGGCAGATTGGGCACTCTTTTGTATTGGCTTGTCTGTGTCTTTTGATAAAAAGAGATTTCTGGTTTTGAGTTCATACATAATCTTTACCACTGCCCTCATGGCCACTTTGTTTGAGAGAACTTTGACAAGCACATGAAGGGATTATTGATATCCACTAAATAGGTCATATTGTCTAATTGATTATGGAGAACCTTACTGATAGTGGGTGTTCTTGATGAGCATGACATGGGACAAATATTGTCCCAGATTTTCAGTTCACTCTGATAATCAATCCTTATACTTTTCCACAGGACCAATCATGTTAATTAATAAATTAATCAGTAACTGGGAAGAAAATAGTTCAACAGGCTTAAAACCTATTTCTTAACTTTATCATAGAAGACAGATATCCTGGTAAAAATACTTGAATAAAAGATAACAGGAAGTCTTTATCTACTAAATGCATTTGACAGAATGTCCCCAGTCTGTCTGGGAAGCTTATCATAAATAAACCTGAAGCTTTTGAATTTGGTAGACTATTACTTGCTGAAGGATATCATGTAAGTTTTGTAATAATGGGATATAAATAGAAATTGTGCCATAACAGAAATATTCTTACTCTTTAAACAATGTTCCACATGCATTCCTTAAATTTTATATGTGCATCCAAATTAAATATGACCTAATTGGTCAAGAGAGGACATACATTTGTGGAATATTGCGGGATCTGGCCAGCCTCCCGCAATGCAATGGGGCTCTTTGTTTGTTCCCAGGTGGACTGGCAGGTTGAGAAATAATAGACACACACAAGATAGTGAAAGCTGGGTCCAGAGGGGTCATCGCCTTCTGGTCCTGCGATGCTGCCAATGCACTGGATATACCAGCATTTATTATTATGTTTAGTGAGGGTGGGGGTAGGTTAGTGAGGGATTTAGGGTCATTTGATTATGAGGTGAGATGGTCACATGGGGATGAAGTAATTCTTTAACATACATCTGTATGCAGAAGTACAGTATACAGAGATAAGAATTTACAATATAGTGTGTGCATCAGTAATTTCTAACAGAGCCTTAAAACAGAAACACAGTC
This sequence comes from Homo sapiens, assembly GCF_000001405.40. Classification (NCBI taxonomy): domain Eukaryota; kingdom Metazoa; phylum Chordata; class Mammalia; order Primates; family Hominidae; genus Homo; species Homo sapiens. Next base: position 132,308,722 of record NC_000004.12, read on the forward strand.
TTTCCATAACCTATGATTAGCAAAATATTAATCAGCAGTAATAGTTGCAGCAAAAGCTGGTTACAAACAATCCACAGAAACAGGATGTGAAGCTAGACAACCAGTTAGAACAGAAATTCTCAGAAGGGAGTATGCCTTCACCCTAAAGAGGCCTAGAAGAGCTGTGGCAAGATGAGGGCATTTATAGCCCTATCTTATCCATATGAACAGGTGCCCCTCATGCATCCATTTATAGGCTCTCCACAAGGGTCACATTCCATTCCCAGAGCTATGAACATCTGCTTTTCTGGGATAGGAATCTTGGTGATATGAAACCTCCCTGACTGCACATCTGTTCATAGGCTCTCCGCAGATGAAAGTACATCATGCGCTGTTGGCTCATGCTGGCAGCCCAACCTGTCATTGTCTTTACACAATCCTGCATGCAATTTTGTATTTACAATAATCAGGAGCATTTCATTTTTTATTCTGTAGCAACAGTTTCAGGGGGTCTCCCTACAGTGGAACTGAGATTTCTTTTTTTTAACATCATCAAGAAAAGAATGTTTTGTTTATGTTTTGTTGTTGGCAGCATCCTTTAAATTATTTGGTCAGGAGTTTGAGACCAGACTGACCAATATGGTGAAACTCTGTCTCTACTAAAAATATAAAAATTAGCTGGGCATGGTGGCACATGTCTGTAGTCCCAGCTACTCGGGGGGCTGAGGTAGAAGAATTGCTTGAACCTGGGAGGTGGAGGTTGCAGTGAGCTGAGATTGTGCAATTGCACTCCAGCCTGGGTGACAAAGCCTGACACCATCTCAAAATGTGTATATATATATATATATATATATATATATATATATATATATATATATATGTATATATATAAATATACGTATATATTTATATATATACATATAAATATATATATATATTTATATATACACACATATACATATAACTTAAAAGAACATATGACTAGTGTTTCTCCTCTTTATAATCATAACAGAATCAAGAATTATCCTTATATTACACCAAAGTTCTAATAATCTATAATTAAAGTATATCAATAGTGTACTACTTGTCCAAAGGCTGCAATATAAACACTTTAAAAGTTGCGATTAGGATTATGAGACATTAGAAAGTCTATGTGCGAGTGCATCTCTCTGTGTGGTCAATGATTGATAATTTTTTAATGTGTCTTACATAGAATAAGAAAGGAAAACATATTTCACAAATACCAATAGCTAGAATATCTGAGTTATCATCTAGCTCCACTTGCTCTTTTTCATAGGATCACAGTCACTTGTCTTGCCTCAAGTCCTACTGCTAGTTAGTTCATGATTTTAGACAAAAAATTCTGTCTCAGCTCTCAAGACAGTGCTCATTTTTCTGCATAGTTCTTTTTATTCTATCTTTTCTAAAATAAGTTATAATAAGTTGATATCAAATCAAATGAAATGACAGCTGATTGGGGTGGTGGGGGGCAATAAATAGGGCTTAAATTCAGATGTTCTGTAGGCAAAAAAAAAAAAATCTATGTATTTCCAAAGTAGATGTTGTCTTGCTGTATTGTCATACCTTGAAATTAAAGTAGGCTTTTTTTTGGGGGGGGGGTTGTAATTTTTCACATGCAAAAGCAAAATTTAGTAACTGAAGTTTACAAAAAAGATGATTCAGTGAAAAAAAAGAGTAACACTGGGTCTCTTCTCCTAAAAGTGGATCAAAATGCCTTAGAATGTAATAAAATACTCAATTATGATCACGGATGTGATTTAGACAATTACATATTTATAAACAGCATAAAACCTTTTTTGACTTGTTGTTGAAACAAATCTTAAAAGTTTCTATAAGAGAGTAAAATGGATATTGAAATTTATGTAAATATGCAATTCAAATTGTCTGAAAGGTAGGTATGTTTGTTTATTTCAGTTTAGAAATTGTTTATAATGTGTAAGAATAAATAGGTTTATATGTGTAAGCATAAGTAGGTCTATATAAAAAATTTCAGAGTTTTCTGGTTTAGTTTACCTTTGACATGTTTTTTACCAAGATTAATTTCACATTGAATAAAAACTTTGGTTTATCTATTTTTTAATCTGCATCTGGATCTGGACTGCATTTCTTAATCAGGGTCTATGATCAATATATTGCTGAGTCTCCAATGTTATGGAGATTGGGGGTTCAATTTTAAATAATGTAAAATAAAGTTCACATATATACAGTTAATTATTTAATTAGAACTATTTATGTCATTGTTTATTTCCCTCACTCATTATAATCAGTAATTGACTATCTTGATATATTATTATAAGCCAAGTCATATTTCCAAAATTCACATAGAAAGGCGAATGCATGCATCAACACAGCTATGGTTGAAAGTAGATACTAAACTGAAACTCACTTCTAGTATATCTGAACAGTAAATATTTCATGAAAGCACTTGAAGGAAGATGGGAATAATCCCTCAGTGTCCTGGGCAAGATTGCTCTTCTCAGATAATACCACTACATACAGTATTTATTGGCTTTTATACAGATCAGCAAGGTTTCAGACAAGATGTTGCTATGCTGACTGAATAATTTCAACTTCAATTGAATATGTAATGACTGCTTGAGCATCTGTGACAACATTCTTTGGAAAACACTATGTTAAAAACATTAAGAGGAATTAGTTTTTACAGAGAAATACAAGCCTCATTTTGCTTATACTTTCAGGTAACAACTAAATACTCAAAGTAATATATGACATATAAAAAGTATATCTACTAGAATCTGAAGGTATTAGTTTCCTGCATGTATTTATATTGAGTTATTAGTTGTGTATAAAATTTAAAAGTTATTTTATATGATTAACTTTCATATATGTACTATATTAAACTATATTTATAATATTTTACATTAGCAAAATTTCCTCATGTTTGATAGGTCAGTGATTTTCACTTTGTATTTTTATTAAACAATAAAGATAAAGTGGATATATAAAGTGGAGATAAAGAAACCCAGTGACCACAGAGTAGAATAATAGACATTGGAGATTACAAAAGTGGGGATAGTAAGAGGGTAATGAGGGTTGAAAATTTGCCTGTTGGGTGCAGCGTTCAATATTGGGTAGTGATGGGTACAGCAAAATCTCAGACCTCATCACTATGCAATATATGCTTGCAAGGAACCTATACTTCTACCCCTTAAATATATAAAATTAAAATAAAAAATAAATTTAATGACAATGTAAAACTTTCCTGTATGTCTGTCATAAAATAAAATAGTACATTTTAAATAATTAGGTTTTTTCAAAGTAATGTCATTTTTGTCATTATTAATTAAGACTTTAACATATTTTTCAAATAACTTTTTTTATTTTCTCAAACAAAAGGACTAAATTCCAGAAAAAGTACATGAAGCCTTATTCATAAAGTAAACAAGCAAAATTTTATGAACATTTTCAAGTCGAAATCATCATATATATTTTAGATTATATTTGCAACTCTGAATTACAAAATAGTTTTTATTATCTCAGTGATATTTTCCCCATCTCTTATATACATAAAATGTATCTCAATTTGAAGAAAAATAAACTGGAGTGCATATTGTTATTATAAAATAAATATCAATAAGTTATAAAATTATAAATCAATACCACCAATTTATCCTTGTAAAAATTGTAATAGAAATGCTCATGAAACATACAAGAGCAAAATTATTTTACTCTAAAATATTGTTCAAATAAAATTATCTATAAAACCTTCATTGCAGTTTGGTTGACTCAAGATGCAATTTAGAAAAGAACTTCAGAAAGCAAAGTAATGTAGAAAATACATAATTAGAAATCCCAATGCATAAAACATCTTTTAGTCTCTTGTTAATAAAAAAAAAAACACTCAGAAGATCTACATTAAACGTGATATTAACGTAAAATCATTCAACTTGATGGAGGAAAATGTAAAGATTGTGACAGTCAAAAGGGCATTGCCCTGGGTGGATTAAATTTAGTGAGACTAAAACATTTAACAGTTAAATAGCTTTTCAGAGATTGTTGAATGTCAAATGTCTCTGGGCTGTCAATTTGCTTAGTTCATTCAAGGGTGAATGAGTCAAATATGCAATAATATCTATGTTCTCTTGATTTATTAGTTATTTGGAATTTGTTTTTAAAAAGTAGTAACAAAATGCTTAGGTAAATTCATAAGGCAAACATTCATATAGTGAGTTCCATCATATACTTGCGAGTGTCATTCCCAGTAAATATAATATGTGGGACACAAAGAAGAAACATGACTACATGCTTTGTTGAAAATCTTATTATCCTAAGAACTATCCATTAATTTAACGAGTATATAAAACATTCCTACTGTACTTAACTTTCAGAATTGTGTTTTAGTTTTGAATTTTATACTCAGAAACTGTAAAAGTAATCTATTGCTTTCTGTAAATATTAAATTATAGTCGTTTTTATTACCTATTGTGGTATGTGTTTTCTTTTCTTCTCTTTTTTCCTAGATCACATAATGATTAAGAGATATTTCTACCAGAGTAAGTCACTAATGCATTCCCAGGAGTGGACTTATTTCCTCCTCCAGCTGGCCTCTTCCAGCTTCTCTACAGCACTGGATCTTCTACCAGTCTTTCCTTTGTCTCTGTAACTTCACCATCCAGGTAAAGTCTTGTGTAATATCCCCGTCAAGGCAGTACCAATAAACCTCTCTCTTGCATTGCCCACATCTGGTCTACAGCAATCAAACTCTTTGCTCTCTAATACCCAGTGACAACTTCTGTCTGAATATGAAGTCTGCACCTTGTATGAGTCAGGGTTCTTTTGTGAAGCAGAACTAATAGGATATATGTATACACATATATAGGATGGATTTTTTTATGGGAATTAGCTCCCATGTTTATGGTGACAGAATTCCCACAATATGCCATCTGTGAGCTAGAGAGCCAGAAAAGCCAGTGGCATAATTCAGTCTGAGTTTGAAGGCCTGAGATCCAGAAGAGCCAATGGTGTAACTGTCAGTCCAAGGCTGAAGACCTGGGAGGGGGACTGGGTTGGGGTAAGGTAGGGGACACTGCTGTAAGTCCAGGAGACTGAAGGTCTGAGAACCAGGAGCTCTGATGCCCAAGGACATGACAAGATGGATGCCCCAGCTCAAGAAGAGAGAGAAAAATTCACCCTTCCTCCACCTTTTTATTTTATCTGGCTATCAGCAAATTGAATGATTCAGCCTACATCAGCGAGGGCTGATCTTCTATACTCAGTACGCTGATTCAAATGCTAATCTCTTCCAGAAATGCTTTCACAGACACACCGAGAAATAATGTTTTACCAGGTAATTGGGCAGCCAGTCATGTTGACACGTAAAATTAACCATTACACTCCCAGTACAGCCCACCGTCTCTTGACGCTCTGACACTTCAGGCTGCTTCAGCTTTAGCTTCTCACATTATTCCTTATGCTACCCAATGTTCAGGTAGACCTGATAAAATCCTCTCTCACTCAGCCTTATGTATGGTAGAAGCAATTCTCCAGCCTTCCGTACAAGAGGGTGAAAGATATTTCATAAGCATTTATAAAGGATTGTTCTCCTTCCTAATTTTTTTAACTCAGATCACGTTAAAAGCTAAGAGCTGGTGTTCACTAAATTTGACAGGTTGTCTTTCATAATCTTATAGTGTACCCTGCATAAATATCCAGACACTCACTATAGGATATCAGGTACTTGGCCCTACTTAATTGTCCTCAGCCTCTAAAACATTGTCAAAATTCTCGGCTACAAACTGAAGACATAAAAGTAACATTCTGTTACAAATGTTATAACATGCATAAGAAATCAGTAAACTCTTTCTATGGTAACTGAGTCATTAAAGCATAAATTAAACATGCATTTTACCTTTGAGTTTAAAATAAATGGGAAATACCTTAAAAATATTATCTTTTATGTTGCACACATTACCTTGTCTTATTTTCTTCAGTCATAAAATTATACATAAAACTAGTTTGCATAAGAATACAAACAGAAATAATAAGTACCATAGCATTAATCAATAATTTTACTGACGATATCCTAGGCAAAATTATGGATTATATTACATTATCTGGTTAATTACAAACCAGTCTTAATATTTAAGATTAAACATTGATATCACTCAAAATTGGGACTGATAAAATTTTCTTGAGAATCTATTAGGTTGGTGAAAAAGTAATTGCATTTTTTGCCATAAAAGTAATGACAGAAAATGCAATAACTTTTGTACCAACCTAATAATTATTGTCATAAAAGTTCTTACAATTACATAAAATGTGGTCCAAATATAGTTTAGTATTAATGTTGATGCTGCATTTCAATGAGCTTCATTCAGTCTGCCTTTATTCATTTTCATTTTGTTTTTTAGTTAAATTTGAGTTTTCTACATTTTGGTGAATTGTGCCTCAGTGGGAAGACTGTTACTGCAGTGAATTTAGAAGCTGTTTTCATTTTACTCTTTTTCTGAAACGCTTTTGCTTTAGAAATTTTTTTCCAGCAGATTTTGTTGAATCATATGTCATTTTTGAGGTCATTAATGGCCCATTAATGTTTATTATAAAAACAGTTCATAATTGATAGCATAGTTAAATTAATAGATCTCATATGTGTATTAATTGTTCTCATTTTTCTATACTTCCATTGTTTCCCAACAACATTTTAAACTGAAGAATGATCAAGTTCATAAATTTGAAAAGGAGAGTTTTATTGCTCATAAAGAGTTGCAGCCTACAGGGTGGCCACTCTGAAAGACTGGGAATTGGAGCTTCCAGCCAGAAGCCAGCAACAGACCCTGGGAAAAGTAGACCACAGCAAGAAGCCAACCAAACACTTCAAGAGAGGGGCAAAGGGAACAGAAATGCTGAGCAAAGTGGCAGCATATACATATTTAATAAACTATAGGAGGAGTCATGATTATTTATAACAGGAGAAATGTGCACATGCACAATCAAGTTTCATGCCCCTTCTTGGGACCCAGGATCAAAAAATGGCAGAGTTAGCATAATCCAAGTGTGGAGTTTTCTGTCCTCTAACATCAAATGATGAAGCATAGGATACGAGAACCCTTCCTGCACAGTCTCCATAGACTTGCCATGACCACCCGATGGTCCATAGACTCTTAGGAAAAAATGCTGCTTGGTTGTTGTGCTGAAACTACAAAAGGGAGGGGTAGCATCAGGCAGTTGGTTGACATCAATGGTAGTCTCACAATAGGGGTGGTTTCTGTTTAGCCCTTAGGGAAGAAAGCCTAAGAGTAGCTGGCAAGGAAGGGGGTATATGGAAACCTGTCTGACCTCCCATTTCATCCTTGCCAGTAACTCAGGTTTCAAGTTTACTCTGGGGACCCCTTGGGAAAGAGGGGTTCTGTTCAGTCAGTTGGGGGGCTTAGGATTTTGTTTTTATTTCTCAACATATATTACCTACTTATATTCTTAATCATTATTTTCTATTCTCAAAATGTTTGCTTTATTTACTCTTCATAGGGGCCTATGTATTGAGCATTTTTTCCCGCTAGTTTCTGACAACTGTGTTTATGACAAACCTGGATATTTACTGACTACTGACAATTTCTTTGTTCCATATTATTAACTAATTATGTCATACTTTGCCTTTAGGCATATAATTTAAAAAGTCAACTCACGTTTAACAATCATATTATTTGTACCACGTATTGTGGAGCTATAACAATAATAAAAATGCTATTTTCCTTTAAGGAACACATAAATTGGAAGGTGAATTTTAATATATACATTTGAAATTATCAGATTATCCGTGTATAGTTTGTCCTTGTTATTAAATTGATAAGTTAATTAATTTTTTAAATATATACATAGATATATATGTATTACTGGTTAATTCATTGGTCAATTAGTCATATCTTTATTTTATTGAAATATTTTCAAACCAGGGCTTTTACAAATATCCATACATTCTCTTTGTTACACAAAATTGATTATTTTTCTTTAAATTTACTTGAGATGAAACATTTTTAAAAGTTTCTACTAAAAGTAAAAGCATTAATTGTACAATTTCCCTTATCTTTATCAGTTTCGTTCCTCTCATGTGAAAAAAAGTTATAATTGATATTTTTAAAAGTGGCATGCTGTTTACTTTGGGACTTGAAAAATAAAATAGCTAAGTTCCCTGATTCATTAAATTTAATCATAGGTAAAGCACTTACTTCTCACCCCATGAGTAACAGCTTATGTCGAATCACCACTATCTTCCTCATACAAGCAAGGAAAGTCACTACAGCTATCTTTTGCAGAATTAAACAAAACACATATTCTTGCCAATGTATTTCTGACTCCTAATTTTAATGTATTAAAATGCTTAAAAGCTGTTTTTAACAAGGAGAAAATATTGAGAAATAGTAAAATTTGGTAAGATATATACAAAAGTACTTTTGTTTTTCTTAAAAATGTCTTTATAAAATTATGAAGCTTAAAATTTTGAGAGATTAAATGGTTATGACCTCCTGGTTTCAGAGAGGTAAGTTTCAGAGCCCTCTGATCTCTGAAGTTGTCTTATATTCTGTCTCCTGTCCCCCTCAGCATACTTCCCTGCTTTCAATTCAGGAACAAAAAAAAAAAAAAAGAAGAAAGAAAAGAAAATTAGGCATTGGTAGACGTATTAAATGATTTATTATATTGACAGTGAAATTAAATATTTTCTTATTTTTCTTCATTCTTAAATGGTCGAGAGGAGGAAATTTGTCAGTATTTTTCCTCAGTAATTTGATAAGTAGAAAATAGGTAGATATTACTGATACATTGTATTTTCAAAGTCCATGTACCCATGTAAAGTACATAGAAATATATACATGTGCATGCATAACACACATGTATTAGTTCAAGATGTTGTATTTAACATTTTCTGCTTAATTATTTTAATATATAGGAACTTAAGGAGGGTAACAATTTCAAGTCCTGGGTTGAACTCTAATTTCCCATAGTTTATTAGTGAGAAACTACCTTCCAGATCCCATTGTGATTTCCTAAAATGAATGAAAAGAAGGCTGATTTTAGTATCCAAATTCAAGGATTATGTATTTCATGAAAATAATAAGTGGATAATCTTAGAAAAATTAGTCAAAATGTTAAGAAAAAATAATACACAATGGTGTCCTGAATATGTTATTTCTTTTTCGAAATAGGTATTAATGCAGATACTATAGTCTGAGTGTTGGCATTTTCTCACATGAAGAATGAGATATGCCCTCAGGTTGCCATCAAATGCAGCCAAACATAGAATTTGTCTTGCTTTGCATGAAGCACAGTGATACTTTCTCAAATATTAAAAAAGACAACAGATGGTGAAACTTTAAGCTAGGCATGTTAAGCTTCTGACACATCTTCAGAACATTTTTGCCTAATTTTCTTTAAATATAGATCGGGATAAACATATATATTTGATGAATAAGCATTTTTCTTATGGCTTTTTAATTAATAAATAATTAAGTGCTGATAGAAATTGCAGCAAGCCACCATGGCACGTGTATACCTATGTAACAAACTTGTACATTCTGCACATGTATCCCAGAACTTAAAGTGTACATATATATATATACACACACACACATATATATATATAAAACACATAAGCCTCCCAGATTGCAGTCACTTCAGCAATTCAGATGCTCATATATAATCTTCTATAAAATATCTGTTTTAAACACACCTATTATTGAAAAGATTTTGTTTAGTGCTTTACTTTTTAAATCATCCAGTATGAGTGAATTGAGGTTATAACCCTGAAGTGTTTATTTGAAGAATTCTTAACCGTTAACACCATGAAATTAATTACTTAGACTAAAAGACAGGTAAAATATTTTGGCGTGAATGAAATTCATGACCTTTTAGATTGCTTTCCTTAGGGTCAGACCTTCACTGAACAATTATACAACTTTTCCAGTTGGTTTTAGAAGAATAATTGCTATTATGGTAGCTCAGAGAAGCTTTTATTCAAAAGTAAAAGTAAGGCATTTTGTTAATATAAAATGATAAAATTATAATAAATTTATTTTTTGAAACTGAATGAGTTGATTTGTTATGGTAATTTCAAATATTTGGAAATCTCTAGATTTTAAGCTTCCTTCTCCATATTACAAATGTCAGGTCTTAACTACTATGTAAATAGATGAACATTTTGTTTTACAATTCTCTAATTTTGACTTGTGTGAACATTTATAAACATTTATAGTATGTTTAGAAAATTTAAAATTTTGTGTTTTACATGCAAATAATTTCAAAACTAGCTTAATAAACTAAATTTTATGCAAATATATAGTATTATTTGTACTGTGTTAATTCTTGCAAAATAATAACCTAATATTTCACAATATTACAAAAATTTATTTTAACACATTCATGGTTCAACTATTACTGTATTCATTGGTTCTGAGCACATATTTTCTACATTTTAACATGTCTGAAATACCTACCAGGTCATAGGTCAATTAGCAGTGTGTTTTTCCATTTTTTTTTTTTAGCAATGATGAAACCATCAGATCTTCAATGAACTGTGTTACCAGTCAATATAGTATCTATTGGCAGTCTGAGAGTTACAGACATAAACTCTGTCTTTCAATTTAAGGAATATAGAACATTTGAAGGGATAATTGTGATAAAATTGCTTTTTTTTTTTTTTTTTTTTTTTTGAGATGGAGTCTTGCTCTGTCACCCAGGCTGGAGTGCAGTAGCATGATCTGGGCTCACTGCAACCTCTGCCTCCCAGGTTCTAGCAATTCTCCTGCCTCAGTCTCCCAAGTAGCTGGGATTACAGGTGCACACTGCCACACCTAGCTAATTCTTTGTATTTTAGTAGAGACTGGGTTTCACTGTGTTGCTAGGCTGGTCTGGACCTCTTGAGCTCAGGCAATCCACCCCACTAGGCCTCCCAAAATGCTAGGATTATAGGCATGAGCCACCACTCCCGGCCGCATATATATTTCTATAGAAGAAATGTGGACTATGTAATACTTCCTCAGAAGTATTTAACTTCAAGAAGACTAAATGCCTGCTTTCATACTAAAATTTTATATAGTTATAATATCATTGACATAAATAATATTAATCTTGATTAGCATTATACAATTTGTTTTTAGTTGATATTTATTAAGATATCTCTTGTCAGAATTGGCTACCATATGTAGTAAAATTTTAAAATCTCGATTTTTTTCTTGGTCCTATAAAACACCAAATTTGTAGTCAGAGGTCTTTAAATTTTGAAAGTGCTGTTTTAAGGTTAGATATGTTAATTATGCTGTATTGTTCTTTAAAGCAATATTATAACCATTCTAATTTGGAAAAGAGTAGGAATATAACTGTAAGATACAGAACTGTAAAATAATAGAATTCATTGTCATTGAAATACTTTCTATAGAGGCTCAGTGACCTCACATCAAATTTTCAATTAGAGAATATTCTTAGTAAGCATGGGGATGAACAGATGGATCTGGGTCCCTTTCAATTCTGAGTAATTTTCAACCCCACCGGATTCTCATTATTTCTATAATCTGTATCAAATATGTACAGACTTCTGGAGGCAAAGGTATGCAATTAGTGTTTTTAGATGCCAATGTTGTTAGGTGCCATTGACTAATTTACCACTGATTTTCAAGGTTATGGGTAGGTGTTCCACTTCTGAAATCCTTTTTATATGAAGAAATAATCCTTATGACAACAAATTTCCTGCTTCTTTACTGATGGTGTTTCTCAGCCTTATCACTTTAAGGCCTCTTCACTACTAGGTAGGAAGAGATTTTGGCAACCCAGTCCACTAGAATTATCATGCTCTAGTCACTGGGACTCTGTTACATTTTCCTTTTTGTTCCCCATTCAGAAGAAAAACCCTTTGGATTCATGCTTCTAGGGTCTACCATGTGTAGTTTTTCATAGAATATAATGCAGCCTAAGTATAATATTCTCAACTGTTTTGAATAAAATAAAAGAATAAACCAACAAAATGAGAAGGTGAGTGACAAGGCATGAGGCAAGGAGAGAGATTCAGCAATAATCTGAGAAAGCCACAGCCAGAGAATTATTGGAGACTGAAAAATGGAAAAAGAAATCTGCTGAAAATCAAAAAGCCTGTACTCCTGTTAATACACAAGTAATAATAAATTCACATAATCAGCAACTTCCCAGCAATATACCCATCTTACCTAAACCTAGTCCTACTTTCATTTCCTCATTTGGCAGAAATACACAGGAAAATAGAGGCATTTAGATTAAATTTCTTTCCTTCCTTCTTTCCTTCTTTCCTTCCTTCCTTCCTTCCTTTCTTCCTTCATTTTTCTTAGAGACAAGGTCTCACTATATTACCCATGCTGTAGTAATATGGTTATTCACACGTGTGATCATAGTACGATACACAGTACAATACATAGCATTGAACTCCTTGCTTAAGGGATCCTCCTGCCTCAGCCAACCAAGCAGGCAGGATGACAGTCACGCACTACCACTGCAAGTGAGCTTAAATTTCTATTGGGTAATCTTCTCTGGCTCTATTCAAAATGATTCATTGACGGTACTATTTCAAGTATTTTAACACATTTTTTTCTTAACTAGTCTTAACATACAATAGTAACAATATTTAATTTATAAAAATACTACCTGAAAACGTGTGTTTTAATGTTATTATTTGTTGTTGACATATTTTAAGGACTATAAAACAGAAAGCGTGTCACCAACTGTTTAAGGTTCAAACATAAATTTTCTCTGAAAATTATATAAGAATACAATGCCATCCCCATCAAGCTACCAATGATTTTCTTCACAGAATTGGAAAAAACTACTTATGGAAACAAAAAAGAGCCCACATTGCCAAGTCAATCCTAACCCAAAAGAACAAAGCTGGAGGCATCATGCTACCTGACTTCAAACTATACTACAAGGCTACAGTCACCAAAACAGCATGGTACTGGTACCAAAACAGAGATACAGACCAATGGAACAGAACAGAGCCCTCAGAAATAATGCCGCATATCTACAACTATCTGATCTTTGACAAATCTGACAAAAACAAGAAATGGGGAAACGATTCCCTATTAAATAAATGGTGCTGGGAAAACTGACTAGCCATATGTAGAAAACTGAAACTGGATCCCTTCCTTACACCTTATACAAAAATTAATTCAAGATGGATTAAAGACTTACATGTTAGACCTGAAACCATAAAAACCCTAGAAGAAAACCTAGGCAATATCATTCAGGACATACACATGGGCAAGGACTTCATGTCTAAAACACCAAAAGCAATGGCAACAAAAGACAAAATTGACAAATGGGATCTAATTAAACTAAAGAGCTTCTGCACAGCAAAAGAAACTACCATCAGAGTGAACAGGCAACCTACGGAATGGGAGAAAATTTTTGCAATCTACTCATCTGACAAAGGGCTAATATCCAGAATCTACAATGAACTCCAATAAATTTGCAAGAAAAAAACAACCCCATCAAAAAGTGGGTGAAGGATATGAACAGACACTTCTCAAAAGAAGACATTTATGCAGCCAAAAGACAAATGAAAAAATGCTTATCATCACTGGCCATCAGAGAAATGCAAATCAAAACCACAGTGAGAAACCATCTCACACGAGTTAGAATGGAGATCATTAAAAAGTCAGGAAACAACAGGAAAAACAGGTGTTGGAGAGGATATGGAGAACTAGGAACCCTTTTACACTGTTGGTGGGACTGTAAATAGCTCAACCATTGTGGAAGTCAGTGTGGTGATTCCTCAGGGATCTAGAACTAGAAATACCATTTGACCCAGCCATCCCATTACTGGGTATATACCCAAAGGATTATAAATCATGCTGCTATAAAGACACATGCACATGTATGTTTATTGCAGCACTACTCACAATAGCAAAGACTTGGAACCAACCCAAATGTCCAACAATGATAGACTGGATTAAGAAAATGTGGCACATATACACCATGGAATACTATGCAGCCATAAAAAATGATGAGTTCATGTCCTTTGTAGGGACATGGATGAAGCTGGAAACCATCATTCTCAGCAAACTATCACAAGGACAAAAAACCAAACACCGCATGTTCTCACGCATAGGTGGGAATTGAACAATGAGAACACATGGACACAGGAAGGGGAACATCACACACCGGGGCCTGTTGTGGGGTGGGGGGAGGGGGGAGGGATAGCATTAAGAGATATACCTAATGTTAAATGATGAGTTAATGGGTGCAGCACACCAACATGGCACATGTATACATATGTAACTAACCTGCACGTTGTGCACATGTACCCTAAAACTTAAAGTATAATAAAAAAAATAGAATATATTTCTTGGTGGGGCATGATGGCTCATGCCTGCAATCTCAGCACTTTGGGAGGCCTAGGTGGGCAGATCACTTGAGGTCAGGAGTTCAATTCCAGCCTGACCAACATGGCAAAACCCCATCTCTATTAAAAATACAAAAATTAGCTAGCGTGGTGGTGTGCATCTGTGATCCCAGCTACTTGGATGTCTGAGGCAGGAGAATCGCTTGAACCTGGGAGGCAGAGGCTGCAGTGGGCAGAGATCGTGCCACAGCACTCCAGCCTGGGCGACAGAGTGACACTCCATCTCAAAAACAGAATATATTTCTTCCCATCTTATTGATGTCCAGACGAAAAAATTGCCAATAACAATCAATAATTGAATGCTTTTTTTATTTTGAATACCCAATATAGAGATAGGATGAGTTGGCATGAATGGGAAGTACATTAAACATGTAGACTCCAGTTTCAAAGAACTGTGATCCATTTGTCAAAATTGAACAGATACACAAAATCAATTTAAATATTTTGATGAAAAGTAAAATAACATTGCTTGTCATAGAAAAAATCAAAGACCCATTAAATATTAAGTTCAAGGTTATAATCTTTAGTTATAAAACCACTAAGGCCCTATGTATCAACATTTATTCTCAATGAATTTATTTTTTAAGGTATTAGAATAAAATTTCAATATAAGTTAATAAAAATCATGTTTATGAATCTTTAAAAATTTTCATCAAAATTCAGAGCAATAAAGCTAACAAATATTTTGAGAAATAGGAATAATACATCTGAATTCAATATTATTTTACTTCTTATGAATAAAATAACCTAAGAAGTATGTCTGACACTTATCCTAGGAAGAATACCTGCTATATTAGGTGACACAATGCCAATGCACAGCCCCCTAAATACAGGAAGCTATAGAAGAAAATATTTAAATCATGATTACTATAAAATTTTCATGTAAATTGATATAACATAAAATGTGTTTCTTTTTCTTTCAGTAGCTACCATGCTCAGCACATGGGCTTACCAATGCACCTGAAAGATAAACTCAAGCATAGGGGAAGTCACTATTTATGAATAAAATTATAAAATTATAAAGTAAGTTTATTAAATATTTATTTTGAAGATGTTTTGTTAAAATATTTTCTTCTTAAATAACATCCATTTTAATTCATTCAAGAAGCATTTAAATGGTAACTGCTATATACCAGATTTAGGCTAAATATTAGCGATATAAATATAGAAAGTACAAATATATTTTAGAACTAACTCCCTTCAGAGAGCATTCTATTGGAAGAATTAAATGTAAACAGATAATTAGAAAAAAATAGAATGTTAAAACATTTATAAATAGTAAATTATGGGAGCACCTAATAACAGCCTTATGGAATACATGAAGAAATACTGTGTGAAAGAGCTCAGGATGATTGTTTTAGGAATCATATTCTTCCAATTATTAGGTAGCACCTTGATTGTAACTAAGATCAACATTCATAGAGACATATTGTGGCATAACATTTAAAAGCCTGGGCACTGGTTTGATTCAAATCCTTTTGTCAATTCATTGTGTCCATGTTCTAAAATTTTCTCCACCACATGAACCCTTCACATGTATTCACAATGTATTACCAGAAGTGACCTGACTGGTCAGTCTATAGTTTGATAATGATTCATTTTGTGCTATGCTGCAAGATATTTACCCAACAAGGACAATGAAAACTTCAATGCAAAGAAAGGGATCAATTAGTTTCTTCTAGCATGTCAACATAAAACTCAAAGGGAAAATAAGTAATATTTGTTGCTGTAATTGTTGTATAGTCATGAACCACATGACGTCAATAACAGACCACATAGATGAAAGTGGTCCCATAAGATTATAATTTTGTATTTTTACTGTACCTCTTTTAATGTTTAGATACGTTTAGATATACAAATACTTATTGGATTACAATTGTTTACAGCATTCAGTACAGTAATATGCTGCACAGGTTTGTAGCCTAGGGGTAACAGGCTGTACCATATAGCCTAGGTATGTAGTAGGTTATAACATGTAGGTTTGTGTAGCTATACTCTATGATGTTTGCACAGTGATGAAATATATTTCTCAATACACAACTGGGATAAGTCACAAATGACTGTATTTTGATTTGTGAGGGAGTAGAAATGTAGAGAGTACTTTGAAAAGATGAAGCCCCATAACAGAAATTCATAAATTACTATTTTTTGTTACAGTTTATTATAACTGTTCTTAAAATTATTATGCTTGATAACAAAACATGTCATTAAAATAATAGCTTACTCCATAGGGCTGCTTTGTATCATGAATAAGATTTCAGTTCTAATCTCTATAAGACCCAGTATATCACAATTCCTCCTCTTAGTGTTACATATTTTCTGCCACTGTTAATAATTAGTGAAGTTTAGTCTTATCAAACAAATTCTGGTTTTTCTTCTTCCAATGTTTACCAGTAAAATTAATGCACCTCCTATTACTAATTATTTGAACAACCAAAAGTGTCTCATGAATGTAGGAAATAAATTTATGAAAGAAAAGATGATGAAGTATAGTTATGGAGACAATACAGAATATTGAGAAGATATACATAAATTTTTGGAAAGTACTGTTTATCTGAAATTTAAGTCTATGAATTTATAAGAGTTCTAGAAAATTTGTTTTAAATTATTGACTGAATCTATGATTTTGCTTGTTTAACAGTAACTTGTACATATCCTCAGAAACTTAAATAACACTATAAAGTTCATGAAAAGTAAGACCATGACATGGGTTAATAACATCCTCGGCGAGGTCTTTTGCATAATGCTTCAGTGGTTTTGTTTGGTAGTTGTTTAAATTTAAATCTGTGAATAGTTAGGGTGTTTGTAAAACAGTGAATTCACTGCTTACTTAGAGAATATAGATAAAATTGAAATGTGGTTCTC
Organism: Homo sapiens; assembly: GCF_000001405.40. Classification (NCBI taxonomy): domain Eukaryota; kingdom Metazoa; phylum Chordata; class Mammalia; order Primates; family Hominidae; genus Homo; species Homo sapiens. Next base: position 132,325,961 of record NC_000004.12, read on the forward strand.
ATTCAGGGTATAACCAAAAGAAATTTATTCTACATTTTTAAAATTGAAAAAGCAGAAGGAATAAAGTTTTTATCAGCATACCTCATTCATATAACATCAAGGTGACATGATGTCATATTAATTTAACACACATTTATGAAAAATGTACAATATCTCAAACACCATTGCGTGTATACTGTCGACTGGTATGTCAATCTTCAAATAACAAAAACAGGGCTTATACTCAAGAGGCTGAGGCAGGAGAATCACTTGAGCCAAGCAATTTGAGGCTAGCCTAGGTAACACTAAAGATTCCATCTCAATAATAATAATAATAATAACAATAATGATAATAATAAACAAAGTTCAGGCAATGGTGATGTGAGGCTCCAACTGCAGGTGCTGCTGTGCTGATTCCTCTGCCATTATTTGAAGTATGTATGCAATCTAGATTCACAGTTTTAAAATGCAGTTTTCATGTTTCAACAATGCGTTTAAGTTATGTTTTTTCTTTCTTGTTTTTCCCTTGTTACATTTCTTCCCTCAAGAGAAGAAACACTGATTTTCTAAACTGGTTTCATTGATTAGTTTGAGGAAAAATGAGTTTTCTGGTTTTAGGGCAAAGCAGAAGAGTCATTTGTTAAATTAGGCATTTGCCTAATAGATATAGGAGGATCAGCAAGATTAAGGTCATGTATCTTTTCTTGTTGTCAGATAATGTGTTAAATAAAATCAAAGGGATGATAAACAAGGATAATTGCAGAGAAAAGGATTCCCTTAGGGTTTAATTCAGAAACTTTCTAAAATGTAAATTTTCAGGGTGGACAATCAAAATCTTCTTTGAGGTAGCTAATGGGATAAGTAAGATCATCATTTTCAGAGTATTAAAATACTCTATTCACTAGTTTTAAGAAAAATGATAAAATATATTTATGTTAGAATTCTGACCTGTGTGTATGTTTACAGGTGTCTTATGAAGTTATTTGTGGCAAAAGCCAATATCCTATTACAAAGAAACTAATCTCAGTCTAGTTAGGTCAAACAAAAACATCATATTAGAAAGCAGAAATATACAAAACTCAGATCAACAGAAATTTCAAAAATTTGGAAAAATAGAAGGATTAAATTACTTAAACTAGATGGAAAACAAATTTGATCTATATTGCCATAAAACATATGGTGTAAGCATAAAAAGAAAACCTTAAAAGGCTTGCCTAAGTAAAAGATAGAAAAGGCAATGAAGAATAAGAACAAATAACAATTTTTACTTAGGCAAATAATTTGTTGCTTTATTTATAGAAAATTAGATCTGTTTGATGATAGTGCTAATCAGAACTTACAATATTTTTAGAAAAAAATCTTCAAGAAAATCTAGGGACAAGATATAAAATTAAAATCATAAAAAATCAAAACAGACTAAGATTATAAAAGAGCTAATGAATAGCAAAATTATGTTTATGTCTTATACTTGAATATTGATATGATGAAATAATCCATTATTGAGAAAACAAATTACTTTTTATAATTTTATAACTGAAGAGAGTTGTATTAAGTTTGAATGCATTTTTTAAGAAGATTGGGAGAAAGATATGCATATGAGAGTTATCATTTTTTATGTGTGATTATAAAACTGAAGTTAAAGTCTATGCTAATAAAAATAAACATGTAAAGCAATTAATCAATTTTTTAAAATGATTATTGTGTCTAAAATTCAAGGCTGATATGCTATTTTGCTTGCCTTTTATGTTGTGCTTCACTGTTATGCAGTTACTTTATACGTATGCCATATTTAATTTTTCCTTTTTCAAATTGACCTGAAAAATTTAATTGTAGTCCTTTATATCAACAAAGCACAAACATATCCCTGGAATAATGTAATAAGTATTATTTCAGTGACACTTAATATAATTATACTGTTATTGTGCTATTTCTTTCATAGGATAAAACAATTCATTACCACCAGAGTGAGAAAGCCATGCCATCCAAACCTCAAAAGGTAAGTAAGAAGAAACAGCTATTGACAGAGCAGGAACATCACCATCTGGGACAAGCACCACCATTCTAAAGTTCACCTTGATCAAAAAACTGCCTAAATCCAAAGGGCAGCAGCCTAATTGCTAAGGTCAGCATGACCATAAACCACTAATAACATCTCTCAACAGAAACAGTCCAAACCCCTCCTCAACCAGAGACATGCCAGCCCTGAGATAATCCGCCTACGGCTGGGAAGATGTCAGCCCTGAGATAACCTCCCTTCTGGAAAGATATCAGCCCCAAGATAACCTCCCCTCTGCCCAGAGACATTCCAACCCCACCATAAAACTTCTCCCCTACACAGAAACATTCCAAGCCAGAAGCCCCTCTCAGGTTTATTTTTCTAAAATAAAACTGTCTTTGACTGTTGATCCGCATTTCGTGTTTCTTTCCTCTTTCTTTAACTCTTACAGCTATAGGGAATTTTTATCCTCTTAAATTTAAAATGTCTTGCCCCATTTTAAGTTTCTGCCACATTTTTTTCTCTGAAAAAAAAATTGACAGTCATAGAATCTTAGAGTAAAAATTTTGAGAAGCACAGAAAGATAATTCAAAGCTGGATTATACCATAGTCTATATTAGGTTGTGGAGGTGGTTTTAATTAATTTATTCACTTAGCAACTACAATGTTGAAGGCTGCAAACTGGGAATATAATTTGTACTCAGTCACTGACATTTTTAATTCTTAATATGTAGAATTTTGAACTGCATTTATAATCAAATAATCTATCAGAAAACTTTTGAATTACTATTTTATAAAACCAATGTATAATAAATAACTTGAAATATTAATTTATAAATAAAATTTATTTTAAGAACAAGAATGTGTTAACTCTTCCTCCCATTTCCATTTAAAAGTATCTGTTTTGAGAAGCATAAAATGTCCATCAGTTGGACAATTATAGAATATCTACTGTAAGACAACAATGGGCAGGGCATATAAACATGATATGCTATGAGTCATAGAAAATATAAAACAGAGAAGGAAGAGTAACGTAATCCTGAGAAACTCATAGTAATGTATCTAGCAAATAATATTTTGAATAGCAGCTTGAAAATAGCATAGTTTAACAAATGGAGAAATGACATATTCTTAGAAGCCATCATTTACATCATTAATGAGATGGCAGCTACCAAATATTTAAGAGTTCATAGAAGAAAAAGCAAGGCCTCTCTACAGTGATTTAACAAATTCCGAACTATTAAACAAATGGTTTTTCACAGTGGTCAAAAACAAATATATAAATCAATTGCTATGCTGCAGTCACTTATGGGACCCTCCTTTCATTTTTTTCATTTTTTTCTTAAATTGAGAACTGTATTCTCTTTAATTTTATTGTAAGATTTTAAAATGCCAAGTAACATCTCAACTTTAAAGTCAATTATTTTACAGATGAACTACAAAACTGTACCTAAAATTTTTCTTCAGAAACATTATTATTTATTTAGATTTTGATAAAAGCTGACTGGTTTTAAGGCAACTCATTTGCATTTGGAATATATAATTCTATGTCAAAATAACAACATATTTTTATACAATGCAAGTAATATTATAAACTCAAGTTTGGGTGAATTAAAAAGATTAAATCAAATATCTGGCCATATGGAAATAACATTTTTCTCATTTTATATAAAAATATATTAAGATATCTTGAAAATACATTTGCTACATATCATCAGTCCTAGATTCGGTAGTGGTACTAAAAGTAGTCATTTTTTTCAAAGACAAAATGTTAGAAGTATTTACTATAAAGTATATATTGTCTTTTAAATTTATAAGTCATAAAGTAGACAAAAACATAAGGAGAAAAAAATACTTCTGTACATTTTCCCAAATTACCATTACAGCTTTATTTTTATCTACTTTGAAAAATTACATCTGAATGGCCTTAAGTTCTTGAAGGTCTTTAGTCATCAGAGTTCCTCATAACAATAGCTTTTATCTTGTATTGATCATCAAAGAATCTTGGCCTTGATGGCACATTAGCCTCGAGTAAAGTTTATCCAACTATTTTTATAAATATTTTCAAATACAAAAATCTGTATATTCTGGACCTTTATAGGAGAGGTTGATATTATTATTTTAATATTTTCATTTTCTTAAAACCTTAGCATCACTGCATTAAATTTTTCATGTATAAATATATTTTTGTTCCCTCTAAGAGAAGTTTTCTTCCTTAAATGGATGAACTAACTAGTAAACGAATTCTGTGTTTTAGACCTCTTTATCACACTAATAAAGAGTGCATCAGAAACCCCATTCTCTTGTCAATTTTCATAATAACTAATATAATAGCTTCCAGACTTACAATTACCTATCATCACTCTAAATTAGAGGAGCTTTCTCTCCTCAACCTATCAACTAATTTCTTGTCCACTGATTTCCTCTGTCAGGTAAATTGGTCATACATTTGAAAAGTGTTGCATTATTAAAAAAAAAAAAAAGAGGACAAATAGTAATAATTTCCTAGCACATTAAAAAGACAGGAATGTCAAGAATTCTGTGTATATCCAGTTTCCAAATAATGAGAAAGTTACATAAATAACCAGAGAATCAGTCATTTCTGCTATAACTTAATTCTCAGTAAGTAAAGCTTGGTTTCTGGTAGCTTTTATTCAGCATGAAATACTTAAAATAATAAATAAAACCTTACATTTTCAGTGGTCTTAGGAGACCATGGGAAGTTCATTTCTGAAAGTTAATTTTAAAATGGAAGGGTAGTGGTTTGAAAAGTTAATCATCACTGAATACAGGAGGTTTTGTATATGTTGTGCTAATATGTATGTTTTAAACTCATATACCCAATAATATTAATGGTCTATATTATAAAAATCATTTTAAACTCCTTTTCCTAAAAGAATTTAAAAACCACAACTCACACATGACACATCTGTGATTTCTATAAATGTCTGTCTGACTTAAAAGATCATTAAATCATGTCATCTCACTATGCCATATTGCCTTTTGAAAATAAATTTTCACTGAAAACGGATAAGTGACATATATGGATAGTCCTGGAGGTTAATTGTCTACCGCTAGTAGCTGAGTTTACACTGAAGTTCCAAGTTAGCTCAGCAGAAGAACAAGTTGATACCAGCCAGTAGGCTCTAGAGGTTCCCCTTTACTAAGCCTTCCATAACCAGGAGCTTCCATGATTACATGATCACCTAGATACTTCTGCCCCCTGACTTTATAAACACGTAGAGCATTATAAAGGAGAGGGCCCTTCTCTACCAATTATTAGTCATCCAGGAAACATTTATATCTAGTCTAAGCTGTGGAATAAAGAGATTTTGAATATGACTTGTTTCTACTAGTTCTTTGATTGTAAGTTTTTCTCCAATAAAATTCTCCACATCATGTGGCACTAGAAGTTCATGTGTTTGAGTCACTGTAATATTAAAAGCTTAAGCACAAAATTCTTTCAATGATCCAGGCATTAACACATGTATACTGCTTTGAACTTAATTGCGCTCCCACCCGCATTCATATGTTGAAGTCCTACCCCCCAATGTAAATATATTTAGAGATAGGGTCTTAAGGGAAGTAATTGAGTAATACAATGCATGCTAACTCAATTAGAATAATACAAAGTTACTAGAAAAGATTTGTTTATACGGATGTCATACTAATAAATCATTTTTTAATTTACTCTTTACATTTTTATGATGGACTTCCTATGGTGGCATAAAAATAAAATATGGGCCGGACGCAGTGGCTCACGTCTGTAATCCCAACACTTTGGGAGGCCGAGGTGGGCAAATCACCTGAAGTGAGGAGTTCCAGACCAGCCTGGCCAACATGGTGAAACCCTGTCTCTATTAAAAATACAAAAATTAGCTGGGGTTGGTTGGCGGATGCCTGTAATCCCAGCTACTCAGGAGGCTGAAGCAGGAAAATCTCTTGAACCCGGGTGACGGAGGTTGCAGTGAGCCGAGCTTGCGCCACTGCACTCCAGCCTGGGTGACTAGTGAGACTCCATCTCAAAAATAAGAATAAATAAATAAAATGCATCATCTCTATTTTCACATGTTTTACATTCTAGTAAACATACAGATATTCACAGGTTCAGTAAAATAAGTTAATCACATAAGGGAGATAGAAGAAAATCAGAAATGGTGACATTGTAGAAGTTTCATCAAAGCAGTCCTGTTTTCTCAGAAGGGGCAGTTTTTAAGCTGGGTTATGAAGGATGTAGAGCAGTATTCCAGACAGGTAAAAAGGTAGATATATTATCGCATGGTGCAAGAGCATGAATAAAAGCATGAAGAAATAAGAAATATTATCGACTGAATAATGGTCCCCCTAAGATGTCTATGCCCTAATCCCTGAAACCTGTGAATACGTTATGCTACATAGCAAAGGGGTTTTGAAAGTAGAATTAAGGTTAAGAACCTTAGGAGAGGGAGATTACTCTCTGTTGTCTAGGTTGGTTCCACCTAATTACATGAGCCATTAAAAGCAGATAACTTTCTCCAAATGGAGACCTATGAGAGTGGTGGCAGAAGTCAGAGAGATGTGTTAGGAAGAAAAGGCAAAGAAATTCCAAGTGTGAGAAGGATTTGAAGCAACACTGCAGGCTCTGAGATGTAGGTATTCATACACAGTGAGAGGTCATAACAATGATGGGGATCCAGGAGCTAAGGGCCAACTTTAACGGCCAGCAAGGAAATGGGGACTTCAGTCATGAAACCACAAGAAACTGGATTCCAACAACAACTGAAGTTGTTATTTCCAAATTCCATATGAATATGGTATTTGGAACCATATTCTTTGCAGAGTCTTTCAATAAAAATCCAGCCCAGCTGGCTGACACCTTGATTTCAGCCTTATGAAACCTAGAGCACAGGAAACAGCCAGGTCAACTTAGACTTCTGACCTATAAAACTATGAGATAACTAATGTATATTCTTTTGAGAAACCAAATTTGGTATGATTTGTTACAGCAGTAACACAAAACTAATATATACCATGAACTATGGCATCACTTGAGTATAAAGACCAAAGAGAGAAGTGAAGAATCAGACCATGGAAGAAGGAATTGAGATGATGTAACTTTTTGACTTGAGATTTTATCTTGTGTTTAAATGTTATTCTGTAGCTGCTGAGGAGCTATCAAATGATTTTAAGTTGCGAGTTGATATAATCATGTTAGGATGACCACTAGGGGCAGTGGAGGAGAAGACAGGATAGAGGGATGTGACTAGAGAATGTGAAATTGACACAAGGAATTTTGTAAAGCTCCAGTCATAATATGATAAATACTTAGACAAGAACAAGGACAGTGGCCAAAGAATAAATTGAAACAGAATGATAAATTATTAGGATGTACACTTATAAGATTATGTGATTCAATAGGTGTGAGGATTACTGAGTATGAAGATAATTCTAGTTCTTAGATTTACATCTTATCATATTGGGTAGATAATATGGATTTACTGAGATATGGCAGACAGCAAGATTGGAATAGGATAGAGATGGGTGGCAGAGATGATGAATTAATTTTTTTACACATTAATATTAAGTGACTTTGGATCACTGGAAAATAACTGGTAAGAAGTGTGTATTCATTAGTGAGCTCTATAGTTGTGCAAGTTACAGAACTGGGCAGTCACATGCTGAGACAAGTAATTCAGTTTCAATTTTGTCTTGAGACAGTGGGATATAAATAGTATTTTAGTCAATGCTTATGATAAATTTGTCATGGTATTAAAGAAAGTATGTGAGTATTTTAGAGGCATAAAAGAGAAGTCTTAAAAGATCTAATGCAGCACAACCTGGCTGTCCAATGTATATCAAGAAGGGAAAGTTGTAAAAAAGAAAAGAATGTTTAGAGATGTCAAATTTCTCAGACAGGTCAGTTAAGAGGCACACTGAAAAAATTCGCAAGGATTTAGCAATGTGCTGTGAGTCATGTATCTCTGTCATGTTTTTTTTTTTTCCATTAGGATTTAGAGGGATACCAGGTCTAATCTGGTGATATTCCATGGACTGAGGAAAGATAGGATACCTTTTTCCTATTATTACAGTTCATGGAGAAAATGAGCATATGTCAGAAACAAAGTCCTGAAATGTAAGCCAATAAATATTAAGTTCAGGGAAGATAGTTCAATATGAGGGTATCTCTGAGTAAAATATACGATTCAAGGATACATACAGACCTTGAGCAAGATTTTTAAAAAAAACGACAATCCAAAAAATACTAAGCATAAAAAAAGTAAATCTTTTAAAATTCATGGAGTCATGTGCAGGAAGCATGGAAGTTTTTAAATGAAATTTCCACATCAGTTTGGGTCTTCATGTTGGAAGGATGAATAAGGGATGCGATTCATCATGCAAAACCTTTGAGGGTGATAGTGGAACAGACATTTGTTATTGTGCTATTTGGCATCAAGGCTTCAGCAATTTTGTTAATTAAAATAAATAATATGAATAGCATGACTTTCTAATAAAGCAGATGAGAAACCTGAAAAAAAATGCTATCATGTTAGCTGAGTTTATTACTGAGGGTTCTCTAGAGTAACATAACAAATAGGATGGATGGATGGATGACAGATCAAAGATAGATAGATAGATACATAGATACATAGATAGATAAAAATTTATTTTAAGCAATTGGCTAACAATTGAGGGGGCTGGTAGGTCTATACAGCAGGCCAGCAGGCTAGAAACTCAAATAGGATTTAGGTGTTATGGTCTTGAGGCAGAGATGGATGTTTTTAAACAGTGTCTAATTTATCATATTTGTTCAAAAAAGAGAAAGACCACTGAAACTGTTCAATAACCATAACAGAAACTGAAACACTTTTAAAATAAATTAGTATACAAAGGATGCTGAACTTATGATACCATCCCTTTAAGAGTACTACTCATAACCCCCTTAAAATGTGATACTTTATTTCCTTCATGGCAAAAGGGAGATGTGCCTTGTGTATAATCAATGAACTAGCTGGCCCTGAGAGCCAATATGATTATAAATTTAAGTCAGCAGAAAGAGGTTAAAGGTCTTGATGAACAGAAAAAAGTATTGTTTTATTTGTTTGCTTTACTTCCTATTGGTTGGTATTCACAAGATGCCATGAAGTTGAAGGTCATACTCATTATTTTAGATGTTTATAAATATTACTCCATTTCAGTAATCCACAAATGCCCTCAATAATTTTGTGGTTCATTTAGCCGTGAACTTGGATACAATGCTTTTTAGACCAAATTACCCTAACAGAATTTTTAGTAGCTCAACCATTAATTTTAATGCCCATTAAACTTTGGAATTATGTCAAGAATGTTATCAAGTATACTCAACAATAATATATAATCAATAAATTCAAGTAGCTATTAGGTAAGCCTTTTCTTTATAAAATATAAATTCTTATTTTTTATTAAAAGCACATCTAAATTTCTCAAGTAAACCAAAATATACTTAAATGCGTGAACTTCATTAATAAATAAAACAAATGAACAAATAATTTCAATTAAATGTGGTCTTTGGAACTTTCAAGAAATAACTTATAAGTCAGCTAAAAGCAACAGTCTATGAGATGGCATTTCCCTGTATATAGAAAATTATAGAAACTTCATGAAATATACATTGATAATTTTTTAAAGGAAAGATGCTGGGCTGGGTGTGGTGGCTCCTATCTGTAATTCAAGCACTTTGGGAGGCTGAGGTGGGAGGATTGCTTGAGACCAGGAATTCTAGGTAACAAAATGAGACTCCGTCTCTACAAAAAGTATGGTGGTTCATACCTGTAGTCTTGGTTACTTAGGGAGGCTGATGGAGGAGGATATCTTGAGTCCAGGAGGTCAACGCTGCTGAAATGAGCTGTGTTCACACCATTGCATTCAAGCCTGGGCAACAGAAAGAGACCCTGTTTCAAAAACAATTAAAAAAAAATATGCTCAATGTCAAATCCAGTGCATATTATTATAATGAAAACATATGTTTCTTCAATCAGGTTTAAAGTGAACAATTCTAATAGACTCCGTGAAAACGTACGTGTTATATCCCAGTAATTTCTTTTATAATGACAAGTCAACAATTTTTCTTCATTCTAATTGAAGCACATGTAAACAGTATATATTTTAGGACATTGTTATGCAATTTCCAGATTGAATCTGCCATTGATAACAACTGAATTTACCCATATTCATAGCGTACAGCTAAATATAGCATTGCCTCTGCATTTATGAGCTATCTATTATAAAATAAATACTGAAAAAACTGCTAATAGAAAGTGAAACAATGGTGTTACTGAGTAATAGGTCAATAATCAAAGTGTAATTCTCAAGAAATAGACAGACATTGTTACATTCCTAATAAAAATTCAATATGTTTATTATTGAATTTTTGCCCACAAAAATCACTTGACATTTAAAAACTGTTACCTGTATACCCTAATAACTTTTGTCTTTTTCCTTTCCTTTTTTCTTGAGATAGGGTCTTATTCTTTCTCCCAGGCTAGGTGCTGTGGCATGATCTCGGCTCACTGCAACCTCTGCCTCCAGGACTCAAGCGATCCTCCTGCCTCAGCCTCCCAAATCGCTGGGATCACAGGAGTGAGTTACCACTCCCAGCTACTTAATTTTTTTTTTTAATTTTCCGTAGAGATGGAGTTTTGCTATGTTGCCAGTCTGATCTCAAACTCTTGAGTTCAAGCGATCCACCTGCCTCAACCTCTCAAAGTGCTGGGATTACAGGCATGAGCCACCATGCCCAGTCTCCCAATAATTTTGAAGATGATATATTTTGATTCTAAATGGTAATACAGAGAAAGATGCATCTGTACATATAACAATCACCAAAAACATCTTTACTAATAAATACTTCTAACAACTGATAATGCAATGATTATTTCAAAATTTATATTTGAGTTCATGATCTGAACTCTTCTGGTAATGTTCAAATTAAGGGAAGTTTTTAAAGAGCTTTGTCTTTTAGAATACCTGTTTATCCTATTAATCCATCTAAAACTGTTGTTTCTTGGGATTTTAAATATTTTGCTGAATTTTTTTCTGGTGAGCTTCTGTACATTTAAATTTTTCATTGTAAAAGAAGAGTGTTGCTGTGGGCCTTGTAATAGACAATCCATGATTGAAGTCATTATCATCTGTTCTATGGCCAAGCAAATTTCTCACAAAGAAGTGAATTTGAGCTGGAGCAAGACTGAGGGTTTGATCCTTTACCTCCTTATTACTCTATTGAAGCTCTAAAAGTGTGGTTATGGTTATAGGTTCAATTGTTTCTCAAAAAAAATGTTGAAATCCTAACCCTCAATACCTCAGAATATGACCTTATTCGGCAATAGGGCATTACAGACATAATTAGTTAAGATGAAGTCATATTGGAATAGGGTGGACCTCTAATCCAGTGACTGGTATCCTTACAAGTAGATGGCTACACGAAGATACAGGAACACAGAGAGAATGCCAAGTAAAGATAGGGTCAGATGGAGAGATGCATCTATAAGCCAAAGAACATCGAAAATTTCCAGTCCTAACTTAAAGCTAGTAGAGACGCATGGAACACTCTCTCAGGGATCTCAGAAGGAACTAATTATGACAAAACCTTGATTTCAGAATTCTAGCCTCCTGAACGGTGGAATAACATACAAATTGATTTGGGAGGTGGATAAACTTCTTATATTTTTTAAGCAACCTGGTTTGTGGTACTTTGTTATTGCAACCCTAGTAAATTAATGCAGTTAATACAGCTAAAGATGGTTATTTTGGTAGGATCATGTGAGTGGACTATGAGAAGGTCTGGGATACATCATCTTAAGAAAATGTCTATGTATTCTTTTGTTAAAATTATTTCCTTTAAAGAAAATTTTCCCTCCCTACTCCTTGTCTTGTTTTCTAAAAAACTCAGGATAAGGTGGGAGGAAAAAGAAAGAAAAAAAAGAACGAAAGAAAGGGAAAAAGGAAGGAAGAAAGGAAGGAAGGAAGGAAGAAAAATGCTAGGAATATTGTTGCATGCCTGTAGTCCCAATTTTGGGAGGCCTATGTGGGAGGATTTCTTGAAGTCAGGAGTTCAAGACAAGCCTGGGTAATATGGCAATATCCTAGATTTAAAAAAATTAAAAATTAGCTTGGTTTGATGGCAAATGCCTGTAGTCTCAACCACTCTGGAGACTGACGTGGGAGGATGACTTGAGCCCAGAAGATTGAGGCTGCAGTGAGCCATGATCACACCACTGCCCTCCAGCCTGGATGAAAGAGTGAGACCCTGTTCAGGGAAGAAAATACCAAAATACTAAAAACCTCAGGAGCCATCTTAAACTGTATATTAATTGGACAAAAATGTTTGTTTAATGTAGCATTGTTTATGAGTACATTTAAGAGCATAATGTATATGAGAAATTAACTGAAACCACTTGGTTTCATAAGAACTTCTGGGAACAATAAATCAAATACAAATATGTTATAAATATACATGAGTATTATTTTTACATGTTCTAATAAGATATTCTAAAGGGTACCTTAAAAAGATGTGTTTTTTTTTAATTTCTTTGTTTCTTTCTTACTTTTTTAATAGATCCAGGGGGTACATGTGAAGGTTTGTTACATGGACATATTGGTTAGTGGTGGGGTTTGAGCTTCATTGTACTCATCATCTGAATGGTAGACATCACATCCAATAGGTAGTTTTTCAACACTCACCCTAAGCACCCTCACCTTTTGGAATCCCAAGTTTATATTATTCTCCTCTCTAAGTCTATGTGTACACATTGTTTAGCTCCCACTTATAAGTGAGAACATATGATATTTGACTTACTGTTTCTGAGTTACTTCACTTAGGATAATGGCTTCCGCCTCCATCCGTGTTGCTGCAAGAGACATGATCTCATTTTTTTATGGCTGCATAGTATTCCATAGTTTATATATACACCACCTTTTCCTTATCCAATCATTCATTGATGAATACTGTGGCTTTGCTATTGTAAATAGTGCTGTGATAAATATATAAGTACAGGTGTCTTTTTGATATAAAGATTTCCTTTCCTTTAAGTAGATAACCAGTTGTAGTGTTGCTGGTCAAATGGTATTTCTATGTTTAGTTATTTAATTAAAAGTTATTTAATAAATCTCCATACTGTTTTCCACAGAGACTGTATTAATATACACTCCTACCAACAGTATATAAGCATTCCTTTTTCTATGCATCTTTGGCAATATATGCATCCTTGGCTTTATAATAACAGCCATTCTGACTGGTGGGAGACAGATCTCATTGTGGTTTTAATTTGCATTTCTCTGATGATTAGTGATGTTGAGCATTTTTTTTGTATGTTTGTTTTGTTGCTTTTATCTTTTCTTTTAAGAAATGTTTGTTCAGGCTGGGCACAGTGGCTCATGCAGGTAATCCCAACAATTTGGGAGGACAAGGCGGGCAGATCACTTGGGGTCAGGAGTTTGAGACCAGCCTGGCCAACATGGTGAAACCCCAACTCTACTGAAAATACAAAATTTAGCTGGGTGTGGTGGTGCACGCCTGTAGTCTCAGCTACTCAGGAGGCTGAGGCAAGAGAATCGCTTGAACCCAAGAGGCAGAGGTTGCAGTGAACCGAGATCGCGCCATTGCACTCCAGCCTGGGTGACAGAGTGATAGCCTGTCTCGAAAAAACAAAAAAAAATTATATACATATGTATAATATATAATTGAAAATAAAATTAAAAAGAAATGTTTATGTCCTTTACCCACTTTTTAATGGGGTTGTTTTTTTCTTGTTATTTGAGTTCCTTGTCAATTCTGGATATTAGACCTTTCTTGGATGTGAGGTTTGCAAATATGTTCTTCCATCTGCAGACTATCTATTTATTCTGTTGATTATTTCTTTTCCTGTGCAGAAGCTTTTCAGTTTAATTAAGCCTCATTTGTCTATTTTTGTTTTTGCTGCATTTGCCTTTGAGATATTAACCATAATTATTTTCCTAGGCTGATATTCTGAAGAGCTTTTTCTAGGTTTTCTTCTAGTATTTTTACAGTTTCAAGTCTTGCCTTTAAGTCTTTAACACATCTTGAGTTAATTTGTGTATATGTATGTAAGTATTTATCCACATATATTTAGTGCAAACCTAAATTATTAGAAAATCGTGTCCAAAATTACTAAAATTATTGGATAATTTGAGAATTTAAAGTATTAAATTCTACATAAATAATGTAATAAATTCTACACATACAATGTGACCCCTTGTGTTCTTTGAATCTATGTAGTTCAGTCATGCTCCAAAATATAGGCTGAGCACAGTGGCCCATGCCTATAATCACAGCACTTTGGGAGACTGAAGCAGGTGGATCACTTGAGGTCAGGAGTTCTAGACCAGCCTGGCCAACAGGGTGAAACCCTGTCTCTACTAAAAATACAAAATTAGGGGGGTGTGGTGGTGCACCCCTATAATCCCAGTTACTCTGGAGGCTGGGGCAGGAGAATCGCTTGAATCTGGTAGGCGGAGGCTGCAGTGAGCTGAAATCACGACACTGCACTCCAGCCTGGGCAACAGAGGGAAACTCCATCTCTCTCTCTCTCTCTCTTTCTCTCTCTCTCTCTCTCTCTATATATATATATATACACAAACACACATACATATTTCACTTAATCTGTTTATTTCAAAAGTTTTAGGGAATGTATTTTTTCCTTATATTCATTCTTGAGTGGAGAGGCATTTCTTGGTCAGAAACTTATACAGTAATTATATGTGGATTCTATTCTATCCTCCAATTACTAATCTATGAGAAACAAACAAAAAACTCTCTTGTTTTCAGCTGAAACACAAGGTGATACAAATATTTTATTTTCGGTGACTCAACATACAAATTGAGTTGGGAGGTGACTTGATGGAACTTTTCTTCTGCTTGATTACTTTTCTGTGTTTGATGAATCTACTGTGCTGATGACTGTATTTCTAAATTCAATTTTGATTTGGTCAGCTTCATATGTAACTATGTTTAGTCTCAATGCTGTAGCGTTTGATCCATTACTTTGCAGAGATTTACACTGATATTTCAATATCTGTCATTACTGAAATTTCCTCTTCTTTCAGGAAAGTGTTCTGTCAGTCCAGGATAAGTCCAGAGTATTAGAGTCAATTCAGGTCAATGAAGTAATGAGCTAACAGGCCCAGTGTATCTGTTTTTAGGCACAGACACACAAATGACTGGGCCCCTTTTCTAACACATTAAAAGGTTCTCCAACGTTCTAGTTTCTCCTACAACTCTTGACTCTCCAAATTAGGGAGTTATAGATTCTTGACTCTATTTCTATATTACCTCTTAATATATGACAACTTTTTGTCAATAAATATATCTTCATTATTTCTAATAGGAATGTTTCACATTATGTAGTACTATATTCAGGTTTCTTCCAATGGATTTCATCACCCTTGTCTTTTAAACACGCTTGGTCATTTTTATTTGTATATGTGTTTATTTAGATGTTTTCAAGATGAGCGATGCAAAACACCTATGTACATGCCATTCTCTTTTCAAATCACATAAATTAAATTTTCATTTTCCCATTTGAAAAAATACGTGAACCTGTGAAAATACAACTGTATCCAAACATGGAGAAATTCCTCTGACCAAAAGTAAAATTTTGAATAGTGTATAAATTGTATGCATACTATATTGTAAAACTAAGTACAATACGCAGAGGGAAAAAAAGAACACTAAAAGCATATGTTACCAATGCTGCTAGAATAATAAAACACTTTATTTTCTTTCTAAACTTTCTGGATACTATTTGCTGATTTTTACTATAAAAATTGAAGAGTTTGAACAGAAAAAATACGTTAGTGCTACTATTTAATATTATAGAATACATCCTATTTATTAAGTATTGTAATAGAATTTCATCTAAATTTTGCTAATTAAACATTAAAAACAATTCATTAAGGTAGTCCTTATCTACTTTTTTTAGATGAGGTCACCAAGATTCAGGGATACAGTTTGAACATCCTTAATCAAAAAATCTGAAATCAAAAATGTTCTAAATTCTGAAATTTTCATAGTGCAAATATGACACCACAAATGGAAAATTCCACTCCTGTCTTCATGTGATGGGCTATAATCAAAACACAGGTGCACAACATAGTTTGTTCAGCATCCTCAAGAGAAAAAAGACTCTCCTAGCTTCCTCCAGCTGTAATACGTATTTTCCAAACAGGCCCACACACTTCCAGGTTTCCCCATGCAAGCGGGCCCACAAAGCATAATAAAATAGTACATATGTACACTGATGGATTTTTGACTCTTCATCCCGTTTGCCACTCTGTATCTTTTAATTGGGGCATTTAGTCCATTTGCATTTAAAATGTATATACATATACATATATATGTATATGTATATACGTATATATGTATATGTATATACGTATATATGTATATGTTTATACGTATATATGTATATGTATATACGTATATGTATATACATGTATATGTATATATATATATTTTTTTTTTTTTTTGAGAAAGAGTCCGGCTCTGTCGCCCAGGCTGGAGTGCAGTGGAGTGATCTCAGCTCACAGCAAGCTCCGCCTCCTGGGTTCACGTCATTCTCCTGCCCCAGCCTCCAGAGTAGCTGGGACTACAGGGGCCTGCCACTGAGCCCAGCTAATGTTTTTTTGTATTTTTAGTAGAGATGAGGTTTCACCATGTTAGCCAGGATGGTCTCGATCTCCTGGCCTCGTGATCCTCCTGCCTCAGCCTCCCAAATAAAATTGATATTGTTATGTGTGAATTTGATCTTGTTTTCATGATTGTAGTTGGTTATTTTGCAGACTTATTTATGTATTTGCTTCATACTGTCACTGGTCTGTGTACAACAGTGTGTTTTTTCTAGTGGCTGGTAACAATTTTTCCTTTCCATATTTAGTGCTTCCTT
This sequence comes from Homo sapiens, assembly GCF_000001405.40. Lineage (NCBI taxonomy): Eukaryota > Metazoa > Chordata > Mammalia > Primates > Hominidae > Homo > Homo sapiens. The sequence continues at coordinate 132,342,854 of NC_000004.12, forward strand.
CAGGAGCTCTTGCAAGGCAGGCCTGGTTGTGACAAATTCTCTCTGCATTGGTTTGTCTGAAAAAGATTTTATTTCTCCTTCAATTATGAAGCTTAGTTTTTAGATGGAAATAAATTTCTAGGTTGAAAATTACTCTCTTTAAAAATATTGAAAATTGGCCCCAAATTTCTTCTGGCTTGTAGGTTTTCTGCTAAGAGGTCTGCTGTTAGTCTAACGGGCTTCCCTTTTTAGGTGACCGGCCCTTCTCTCTGGCTGCCCTTAACATTTTTTCCTTAATTTCAACCTTGGAGAATCTGATGATTATGTGTCTTGTGGTTGATCTTCTCATGGGGTATTTTACTGGGGTTCTCTAGATTTCCTGAATTTGAATGTTGGCTGTCTTGCTAGGTTGGGGAAGTTCTCCTGGATGCTATCCTAAGTGTCTTTTCCAACTTTTTTTCTGTTCTCCCCATCTCTTTTAGGTACACCTATCGTATGTTTGATCTTTTAACATAATCTCATAGTTCTCTAAGGTTTTGTTCATTTCTTTTTATTCTTTTTTTCTCTATTCTTATCTCCCTGCCTTATTTCAGCAAGATAGTCTTCAAGCTCTGATATCCTTTCTTCCACTTGGTCTATTCAGCTATTGATAATTGTGTTTGCATTATGAAGTCCTCATATTGTGTTTTTCAGCTTCATAAGATCATTTATGTTCCTCTCTAAACCGGCTATTATGGTTAACAGCTCCTGTAATGTTTTATGATGGTTCTAAGCTTCTTTGCAGTGAGTTAGAACAGAATCCTTTAGCTCAGCAAAGTTTGTTATTACCCATCTTCTGAAGCTTACTTCTATCAGTTCATCCATCTCAACCTCAGCCCAGTTCTGTGCCCTTTCTGGAGGCCTGTTGTGATCATTTGGAGAAGAGGCACTCTGACTTTTTGAGCTTTCAGCATTTTTGAGTTGTTTCTTTCTCATTTTCATGGATTTATCTACCTTTGATCTTGGATGGGTTTTTTGGGGGGTCTTTTTTGTTGATGCTATTGATTTCTGTTTGTTTTTCTTTCAATAGGCCCCTCTTCTGTAGGTCTGCCACGGTTTGTTTGGGGCCCATTCCAGACCCTATTCACCTGGGTTCCTCCCGTCCCTGGAGATATCACGATTGGAGGCTGCAGACCAGCAAAGATGGCAGCCTGCTCCTTCCTCTAGGAGCTCTGTCCCAGAGGGGCACTGACCTAATGCTAACGGGAACGCTCCTATATGAGGTGTCTGAACTCTTGTTGGGAGGTCTCAGTCAGGAGGAGCAGTTCAGAGACTCGCTTAAATAAGCAGTCTGTCTGCCCCTTGGCAGGGCGGGTGTGCTGTGCTTGGGGAAATAATTCTCCTCCTCTGGACTGCCCTAACTCTCCAGAGCCAGCAGGAAGAAAAGACTAAGATGGCTGATCCACAATACCGCAGGCACCCCTCCTCCTAGAGGTTCCTCTCAGGGTTATCAGTGTTTTGTCCATAAACCCCTGGCTGAGGATGCTGAGATTCCAATGGGGAGTCCCTCCCCAGTGAGGGAGAGTGGATTCAGGTACGCTTTAGGAAGCAGTCTGAACACGGTGAAACCCTGTCTTTACTAAAAATACAAAAACAATTAGCCAGGCGCGGTGGCGGGCGCCTGTAGTCCCACCTACTCAGGAAGCTGAGGCAGGAGAATGGCGGGAACTAGGAAGGCGGAGTTTGCAGTGAGCGGAGATCACGCCACTGCACTCCAGCCTGGGCGATAAAGCCAGACTCCGTCTCAAAAAAGAAAAAAAGAAGCAGTCCCGCCACAAACTGATCCAGCTGCTCTGCTGCTCTGCTGTGCTGTGCTGTGCTGTGCTGGCCACAAACTGATCCAGGTGCTGTGCGGGGCTGGGGCTGTGGCTGGGGCTGGGCTATGCTGTGCTGTGCTGTGCTGCCCTGTGCTGGCCACAAACTGATCCAGGTGCTGTGCGGGGCTGCGGCTGGGGCCGGGGCCGGGGCTGGGGCTGGGGCTGTGCTATGTTGGCCACAAACTGATCCAGGTGCTGTGCGGGGCTGCGGCTGGGGCCGGGGCTGGGGCCGGGGCTGGGGCCGGGGCTGCGGCTGGGGCGGACTCTCTAGCTCTGGACCGCCCCATCTCGCTGGCACTGCGGGCAGGGAAAGCAGCTGACTGGAGACTGGAGCCATATTGGTGATCGCCGCCCCTCCCCCGCAGGAAGCAGGAACTCGGTCTTCTTAGGCAGTTTCTAGCTGAGTGCACTGGCAGCGGGGATTCCAAGCCAGTGGGTTTTAGCTTGTGGAGTTCCCTGGGAGCGTGGCCGCTTGGATCGCTGGCTCAGCCCCCTCCCCACGAGAGTAGACAGATCTCCTGCCTCATGAGAGTTCCCAGAGCCAGAGTACGCAAATACTCCTGCGCCTCAGTGCCTGCTTAAAGTGGCTCCCCACCTGAGTAGCCGCTGTGATTCTCCACAGCTTTGTGCTTGCGACCCAAGGCTCCGGTAGCGTGGGCTCAGGAAGGGACCTACCGATCCACACGTTGCAAGGATCTGTGGGAAAACCTGGTTTTCAGGGAGGGGAAGCACAACCTTCACCGTCTGCCTTTGCTGTGGGAGGACGTTCCCTTTGCCTTATGCAGCTCCTGAGTGGGACCTTGCTCCACCCTGTTTTTGCTCCCTCTCCGTTGGTCACGCCAACCACCTAATCAGCCCCAATGAGAGAACTTTGGTACCTCAGTTGAAGATTCAGAGTTCACCCGTTGTTTCCTTCCTTCTCGGTGGGAGCCGCAGAGTGGAGCTACTGCTATTCGGCCATCTTGGCTGCCTAAATCTATATTTGAACTTTATGCAGCTAGTGATCAACAGAACCAGTATACAAATTCAGAAATATAGGACTTCCGTGAGCACAGGAGTTTGAGGCTGTAGTGATCTATGATCATGTCACTGCACTCTTGCCTGGGCAGCAGAATGAAACCCTGTCTCTAAAATAAATTTTTTTTAAAAAATGATATACCATTTCCCACCAGTCAGAATGGCTGTTATTTAAAAGTCAGAAAGTAGATGCTGGCAGGGTTGCAAAGAAAAGAGAATACTTATACACTACTGGTGAGTATGAAAATTAGTTCAGCCATTGTGGAAAGCAATTTGACCATTTCTCAAAGATCTCAAAGCAGAACTACCATTTGACCCAGCAATACTATCATTGGCTATATACCCAAAGGGATATAAATTGTTCTACCATCAAGACCCATGCACGTGTATGTTCATTGCAGCACTATTCACAATAGCAAAAACAAGGAATCAACCTAAATGTTCATCACCAGTAGACTAGATAAAGAAAATATGGTACACATTCACCATGGAGTACTATGCAGCCATAAAAAAGAATGAGATTGTATCCTTTGCAGGAACATGGATGGAGCTGGATGCCATTATCCTAAGTGAACTAACACAGTAATAGAAAATCAAATACTGCATGTTGTCTTAAAAGTGGAAGCTGAAAGTTGAGTACATATGGACACAAAGAAGGGAAAAGACACCAGGGCCTGCTTGAGGGTTGAAAGAGGAAGGAGGGTGAGGATTGAGAAACTGTCTATCAGGTACTATGCTTATTAACTGGGTAGTGAAATAATCTGTACATCAAACCCCTGTGACACATAATTTACCTATATAACAATCCTGCACATGTACCCTTGAACTTAAAATAAAACTTTAAAAAAGGCCAGACGTGGTGTCTCACATCTGTAATCCCAGCACTTTGGGAGGCCAAGGCGAGTGGATCATGAGGTCAGGAGTTTGAGACAAGCCTGGCCAAGGTTGTCAAACCCTATCTCTACTAAAAATACAGAAAATTAGCTGGGTGTGGTGGCGGGCGCCTGTAATCCTAGCTACCCGGGGGACTGAGGCAGAGAATTGCTTGAACCCGGGAGGCAGAGGTTGCAGTGAGTCGAGATCACGCCACTGCACTCCAGACTGGGCGACAGAGCGAGACTCCATCTCAAATAAATAAATAAATAAATAAATAAAGTTAAAAAAATAAGTAAATGAATAAAGCACATTCCATCTCTTAGTATATTGGATTACACTAAAAATAATAAATGCATTTGATTTACACTAATATTGCTATAATTACATAGCATAGTACAGTATACTATGTATGGTATGCTACATTTTCCTTTTATTGGCATGTACCTGGTATTATAGTTTTCTGTTAGAAATCTTTGAAAAGGTAAAAGCGTTCACAAAATAAATAAAAGTTCATACGTATTTTTGAAAAAAAATTGCTTTTATACAAAAAGAAAGAAATACAAGACTGTGATTCTTTACCATTTTTTTTTAAAAAACGGTGCTGCTCAAAAAATTCAAGTCTCTATGTTCCATCAAGATTCATTTGCAGGTATAAGTGGAAAGAACAGGGTTTAAAAACACTAAATACAGTTATGTATTTATCTTGGTGTTTAATATAATGTTCCTTCTTGGTGACATGTAAAATTAGAATTGTGAATTAGAAATATTTAAGGTGTTGGCTGGGCACTGTGGCTCATGTCTGTAATCCCAGCACTTTGGGAGGCCGAGGCGGGCGGATTACTTGAGGTCAGGAATTTGAGACCAGCTCGGCCAACATGGTGAAACCCCATCGCCACTAAAAACACGAAAATTAGCCAGGTATGCTGGTGGGCGCCTGTAATCCCTGCTACTCGGGAGGCTGAGGCAGGAGAATCGCTTGAACCCGGGGGTGCAGAAGTTGCAGTGAGCCGAGATTGCACCACTGCACTCCAGCCTGGGCGACAGAGTGAAACTGTGTCTCAAAAAAAAAAAAAAATTTGAGTTGTTTTCTGGTGCCAAATAAAAAATACACTCAGAGGAGGCAAAAGATCAAAGGAATGCTGTTCTAATATTTATATTGAGATAAAAAGATTGCTTTATTCTTGTCCTTTCATCAAGTTGATAACAATAAAATTGGCATAATGAAAATATCTAGCTGCTAAGAGTTACTAGCATTTAAAGCTCTTTAATAATAAGACATATGCTACTTGGAAAGCAGAAACCAGAGAACACTCCCAAATTAAATGTAAGTTACTGGCAATGTGTGAAATAAATTATTATACATAAGAATTATTTAAAAATAAAAGAATTGTATGATATTAAACAGAGTTAAGAAAGCTGACCTGAACATATAATTGTAGAACATGTTTTTCATCTATTGAGCATTAGAGTAAAATCTAGTTAACTCTATAAGAAGACCATGTGTATTTGCTTTTGAATTACTCTCTGATCAACTTGGTATTTTTTGATGCTAATACGACTGCACCAACATTTACCCTATCCGGCCTTAAACAAAACAGAAGACCCATGAGGATGAAACCCAAATTTTGCAAATGTTAAAGGAATAAAGCATCTGCAAAATATTTTACATAACCATCATAGAACATATCCCAGAAGGAATTGTTTGAAACTACAAGAAGGTTTGTTATTCATATCAAAATGAATAGCATAAAGTACATTTGGGAGAGTAGAACATACTGCATTCTAATTCTTCTTGTATGCCCTAAATTTTCATCTGAAAAGGAAATACAGCTTTCATAGATCAGCTGCTGTTTTGGATCACTACATAATATTTCTATTTATAACATGATATATTTACTTCACAGATCAAAGAGGTTAATTGCCTTATGAAAGTTATCATAAGATTATAAATGAGATGAAAAGCCTGGTCTTATAAATAACAGAGTGAAACCTCTTTCATTACATTCCCTCCTTTCTAAATAGAGGCTACTTTATATAGGTACATATAATCATCTAAAACTGTTGTGAACTGTTGTAATTTGTTAACTGTAAATACACTATTTTCAGAAAGGATACATAAATTCAAAGCAAAAATTATTTATGCTTTCTTAAACTGTAGTTCAGTCTCTATTACTCTCAAACTAAAAATAGACAGATAAATACATAAATAATTAAATAAGTCTTTTTTGTTAGCCAGAAACGAAACTCTTTGCTCATTTACAGGGAAGTAATCTCAGGACTTATTTACTTCTGCTATTTACATTTAATTTAATTTAACATGCTGCTACAATGTTAATATGGGATATCATTTTAAAAATATAGCTCACAAGAGCTACCTTTTAATAGGGACATTTTACAATAATATAAATAGCTCTTATTAGACAATTTATAAAAAACGGAGGTTTAAGATGTTTGTAATTTACAAGTTTATAAATGAGCTGGGATTCAATTCAATATGTTTGATTCCACAGCCTCTGACCACTAACTTATAAGTAAAGTATTAAATGACATTATTTACATGTAAAGTGAAACTGAATTCAATAGACATTGAGATCTTGAAATGTTTTTAAAAATTAGAAATATACGCAAATACATTGCTGTAAGGTATGGAACATAATTTATAGTCAAATATGGCATCATAAATAATGTGATATAAATATATATATGCATATAAATGCATGCATTAAAGCCATTAAGTACATTTAAAGGACAGCATTTGAAATAGACTAATCAGCAGTCCACATTCTATTAATAACTACTTACTATATTAGACATTATAAATAGCAATCTACACTCCAGAAATAGCTATGTAAATAATTGAAATATTTCAAAGACTCCACAGAAAACTCATCAATTAGCTTAAAGAATTGTAGACCTATTTTAATATTGAAATAAAGGATGGAATTCAATGCATGTTAAATTAAGTATGAATATGTTATACATATTTCGGCAAGCCCATTGTCCTATTGTCTTCAAATTAGTGTTATGCTCTAAGGCTCTAGTCTGATGCTATGCTCCTCTGTCTCCTTCACTATCCAAGGTCTAAATTTCTTAGTTAACCAGAAGATTGGCTGATCTGTCTCAGGTTTACCTTTGCAAGCACCTCAGAGTTTATGTAGTATGTTTTGCATGCCTGAGAACTGGTACTTTCCCTAACTACGAGAACAAGTTGTGTACTTGTATTTCCTCCATCTCCCTTTTTCTAATAAATGTTTGCATTACATTTGGCAGATTTTAATCTAAGATTTCTGTTACGCTACACTCACTATCAGTGAGCAAAGTTGTAAGACAAAGTTATTCCAACTTCACTTAACTCTAATTGCTGGAGACTATTGTTATTTACCCACAGAACTGATAATTACAAAAATTCCAAATCTATTTAAGTCAATTTGCAGGAAAAGTTAAAGAGAAATAAAAAATATATATATCTAGGGAAGCCTTGGGAAGCCTGAAGGAAGACATCAGAATCAATAGATAGCAGAGAAAACACAGAATAGCAAAAAACAAAAAAAATAGAATAGCAATAGGAGATAAATCAGGATACTTCATCCTGGAAAGTCAAATAAAGAGTTTGAAGGAAGACTGTGTTGTCAGTATATATATACCTGAGATATCTCTATTGTTGCACTTCCCAAATAAATAAACTTTTTTGAAACTTTATTTTCCTAACTAGGCTCCAAATTTATAAATGATAGGATTATAGTTTTTGATGCTTCATCTCTACCGACTGGAAATTACCCGGTGCACAATTGACAATCACTAAATATTTATTGCCTTAACTGATGAGTAGGGAATGTTTGATGGTTTTTGAAATATTAATTGAAAGTTATGAAATATGTATAAAAAAGATGTTAAGGAAAATGTGATACTAAAGAGATGCTTGTTATTTGTTTTTTTAAATATATCTGCTTGTAAAAGAAAAAATTACAGAAAGTTAGCTTACAGATGGTTAAAAACCAGTAAAGGACAGCTCAATTTTATGGAGGATACATGGCATGGGATAGCTTAACAGAATGCAGAAACAGATATAAGAATCCAGCTGTCTTCTATTAAGCCAGATTCAAAGAAATTTGCAAAAATATAAAACAATGTCACCCCCATTGTTTGTTATGTTTTAGAAAATATAATGCTTAATTAAAAAATACCAATATGTTAACATGGAATCGATTTACTATTGCAATTTTTCAATGAATTAATAACTTATTTTAGAATCTGCTTTAATTTTAATTAAACATCACATAAACAGTTATTTGGGAATCATTAATAGTTTTTAAAAGTATAAACAGTGTATTAGTTGGGGTTCCCTGGGGGACAGAATTAATATGTATTTATGTCATATAATACATAAATACAAATATAATGTATATTTATATTATTTAATTTATTATATTACAATTATATATATTATTTAATATATTATTTTATATATAATACATATCTCATATATATATAAAGGGAAGTTTATTAAGTATTAACTTACATGACCACAATGTCCCACAATAACCTGTCTACAAGCTTGAGGAGCAAGGAGAGCCAGTCCAAGTCTCAAAACTGAAGAACTTGCAGTCCAATGTTTGAGGGCAGGAAGCATCCAGTATGGGAGAAAGACGTAGGCTGGGAGGCTAGGCCAGTCTCACCTTTTCACGTTTTTCTGCCACCCTTATATTCACTGGCAGTTGATTAGATTGTGCCCACCAGGTTAAGGGTGGGTTTGTCTTCCCTAGCCTACTGACTCAAATGTGAATCTCCTTTGGCAACACCCTTGCAGACACACCCAGGATAAATACTTTGCATCCTTCAATCCAATCAAATTGACACTTGGTATTAATCATCACAAGTCCACTCCTTGTCAACTTGAAACCATACACATCTCCTGAGATCATACATAATTTTCAAATAAAGACAACAATAGTCATAATTATGCCTAACATAATACAACTGTCCTTCTTACAACCAGGAACACACCGATCCCCAACCCAAATACTATTACATAAAGTTAACAATACTTAAATGCTCATATAAAGTCAATAAATCTTATGTCACATGATAAAGGAAAAGGAAATAAAATGAAGATATTTTCTTAGTACAAGTGTAAACATGCACAAACATGTTTTTAACAAAAGAAGGAGGAAATACTCATGACAGTTACAGTCCTCGTTTCTGCAGCTGGTGACGTGGTCATAGCTGGTATTGATGACTACCTCCTTTTACTGCCCATTCTGTATTCCCTTTGCCTTCAGCAAGCACCTCAGCAGGTCGTGATATTTTTTCTGGTGGAGTGATCCAAACCTTCATTCCTGAGGGGTCTGGCCCATTTGTAGTCCTGCCTGGATTGGACTGTTGTACTTTCCCATTGATGTTAATCACAGGGCATGGTAATACTAAGAGATGTCCTAATGGATCTCCTGTATTCCATGCATACTCTTCCTTACCTCCATTATGGAGTAGTAGACTGATTTTATCTTGATAGTCCAGGTCAGTCACCTCAGCCAACTTTGTACCTCCTTTGTTAGCCTGTTGAATTAAAGGTAGAAGAAGCTAAAAGTGTCCAGGTGGCAATCTTAACTTCCGGTTTAATGAAATTGTAGTTGTGTCTCCTAGTTCCCCCTCCCTCTGGAACTAAGACCTCTATGCCAGCAGAATGTAATGTCGCAAGAACAAGAAGCAAAAATGTTGCTAGTGGATCACTAGGGGTGATGGTGAGTGGTACCACTTCCACTTCCATCCCTTGATTTTTGGACCCATAAATCCTGGCTATGAGAGAAACAGTACCATATATTGGATGCTGATCCAGAGCATACACGGCCTTCTGAAGAACTTTGCCCCAGCCCTGCGAAGTATTGCCATTTAGTTGGCGTTGTAATTGTGACTGCAAAAGGCCATTCCACCATTCTATCAATCCATCTGCTTCAGGAGGATGGGGAACATAGTAAGACCAGTGAATTCTATGAGCATGAGCCCACTGCCACACTGCTTTAGTCGTAAAGTGAGTGCCTTGGTCAGAGGCAATGCTATATGGAATACCATGACATTGGATAAGGCATTTTGTGAGTCCACAGATGGTAGTCTTGGCAGAAGCATTGCATGCAGAATAGGCAAACCTATATCCAGAGTAAGTGTTTATTCCAGTGAGGACAAACCTCAGTCCTTTCAATGATTGAAGAGGTCCAGTATAATCAACCTGCCACCAGGTAGCTGGCTGATCACCCCAAGCAATAGTGCCATATTGAGGGCTTAGTGTTGGTCTCTGCTGCTGGCAAATTGGGCACTCAGCAGTGGCCATAGCCAGGTCAACCTTGGTGAGTGGAAGTCCATTTTTCTGAGCGCTTGCATAACCTCCATCCCTGCCACTATGGCCACTTTGTTCATGGGTACATTGGGCGAAGACAGGGGTGGCTGGGGAAAGAGGCTGAGTGGGGTCCACAGAATGGGTTGTCCTATCTACTCATTATTAAAATCCTCATCTGCTGAGGTCACCTGTTGGTGAGCACTCCCATGGGATACAAATATCTTCACAGTTTTTGACCACTCAGAGAGGTCCATGCACATACCTCTTCCCCAAATTTCTTTGTCACCAATTTTCCAATTGTGCTTCTTCCAAGTCCCTGACCATCCAGCCAAATACTTGGCTACAGTCCATGAATCAGTATATAATTGCATATCTGGCCATTTTTTCTTCCATGCAAAGTGCACAACCACGTGCACTGCTCAAAGTCCTGCCCAATGGGAAGATTTCTCTTCACCACTGTCCTTCAGGAATGTCCTAAAAAGGGGCTGTAGTGCTGCAGCTGTCCACTTTTGGGTGGTGCCTGCATATCCTGCAGAAACATCAGTGAATGAGCCCCTAGTCTTCTCTTTCTCTGTCAGCTAATCCTAGGGAACTCCTCATGAGGCCATCAGCTGCAGGCTGGGCAACAGTAGGCAGGGTGGCAGGAGTGGAGACCATGGGCATTTGAGCCACTTCCTTATATAACTTACCTTTGCCTTCAGGACCTGCTCAAGCCTGATCAAGTATATACTACTTCCATTTGATGACGGGATGCTGCTATGCACAACCTACTTTATGGCTAGGTGGGTCAGAAAGCAACCAGTTAATGATAGGCAATTCAGGTCACTTGGCAACTTGATGACCCATAGTCAAATGTTCGGTTTCCACCAAAGCCCAGTAACAGGCCAAAAGCTGTCTCTCAAAAGGAAAGTAGTTATCTGCAGAAGATGGCAGGGCCTTGCTCCAAAATCCTAGAGCCTTCTGCTGTGATTCACTTATGGGAGCCTGCCAAAGGCTCCAAACTGCATCCCTATCCGCCACTGACACCTCAAGCACCATTGGATCTGCTGAGTCATATGGCCCAAGTGGCAGAATATCTTGCACAGTAGCCTGGAACTGTTGCAGAGCCTTCTTCTGTTCTGGACCCCACTCAAAACTGGCAGCCTTTCAGGTCACTCAGTAAATGGGCTGGAGTAACACACCTATATGAGAAAAGTGTTGCCTCCAAAATCCAAATAGGCCCACTAGGGGTTCTACCTCTTTCTTAGTTGTAAGAGGGGCCAAATGCAGCAAATTATCTTTCACTTTAGAAGGAATAATTTGACAGGCCCCACACCACTGGACATCTAGAAATTTTACTGAGGTAGAAATTCCTTGAATTTTATTCAGATTTATTTCCCATCCTCTGGCATGCAAATGTCTCACCAATAAGTCCAGTGTGTTTGATACTTCTTTCTCACTGGATCCAAGCAGCATAATGTCATCAATGTAATGGACCAGTGTGATATCTTGTGGAAGCGAAAAGCAATCAAGGTCTCTCCACATAAGATTATGACACAAAGTTGGAGAGTCGACATACCCCTGAGGTAGGACAATAAAGGTATATTGCTGGCCTTGCCAGCTGAAGGCAAATTGCTTCTGGTGGGTCTTATGGACAGGAATGGAGAAAAAGGCATTTGCCAAGTTAGTGGCCGCACAGCATGTACCAGGAGATACGTTAATTTGCCCAAGCAATGAAACCACATCTGGTACTGCAGCTGCAATTGGAGTCACCACTTGGATAAGCTTAAGATAATGCAGTGTCATTCTCCAAAATCCATCTGTCTTCTTCACAGGCCAAATGGGAGAGTTGAATGGGGATGTGGGGGGAACTGCCACCCCTTCATCTTTCAAGTCCTTGATGGTGGCTCTAATCTCCACAATCACTCAAGAAATGTGATTTTTTTTTTTGATTTTCTACTTTTCTAGGTAGAGGCAGCTCCGATGGCTTTCATTTGGCCTTTACCACCATAATAACCATAATCACCCTACCAGTCAGGGAGCCATCGTGGGGGGTTCTGCCAGTTGCTCTGTATGCCTATGCCAATTATACATTCTGGCACAGACCACAGGATGAGTCTGAGGACCAACTGGACCCACTGTAAGTTGGAATTGAACTTAATTAATCTCCATTAATTAGGTGACCACCCTAAGCCTCTACTTTAACTGGAGGACCACAATGACATTTTGGGTCCCCTAGAAACAACATTGTCTCAGAGCCAGTGTCCAGTAGTCCCTGAAAGGTCTGATTATTTCCCTATCCCCAGTGCACAGTTACCCTGGTAAAAGGCCAGAGGTATCCTTGGGGATGGATGGGAGAAAAATTAACTGCACAAATTGTAGGTAATGTAGTGCGGTCCTTCCTCAAGGGGACCTGGCCTCCCCTTTATTCAAGGGGTTTTGGGTCTGTAAATTGGCTCAAGTCTGGAAATTGTTTGAGGGGCCAAGATTCTGTTTTTAGAATTCAAATTACTCTTTTGTCCATTCGACCAAGGATTTTTTTCCTTATATAAATTAAGTAGAAATTCAGTATGCTTTCTATCAACTTCACTTCTAGGAATACCATGATTAATTAGCCAATCCAGAGCTCTACATGACTCATAATATTCTGATCGCTGCTTTGTCTCTGCTGTCCATTATGATAGCTACACCTACCTTGCCTTTGACAATTGAGTGCTACCACTTGGCCTCTGCCACCTTGGGATCAAATTATTCCCATTGTATTTAAATTTTGTAGTTGAGTGACTGTGGTTCCCACTGTTAGACCAGACATACAGAGAAGAGCAATTATAGGGCTCTTAAAAGATTCAGGTGCTGCCCTCACAAATCTATTTAGTAAGGCATTAGTCAAGGGTATACCTTCTGGGCCCTCCCAGCTGGGATGAGTAGGTCTAAAGTGACTAATCAACTCCGCTATCCCAATCTCCTTAAGCCTTTGGATCCCTTCCTCTACATTAAACCAAGGGAGATCCAACATTTCCAGCTCCCCCATGGTGGGCCATCTTTTAATCTACATTTCAGCTAACCAAACAAACTATTAGAACTTTTTGGACTCCCTGATTTGCAACATTAAATGCAGAGTTTCTACTTAGTGGGTCCAAATGAATAAATGCAGCCTGATCAAACTCTGTGCCTTCCACCATTATCCTATACCCTTAATATCCATTTCCATGCCTGTTCTCCAGATTTCTGTTTATATAAATTAGATAACTCGAGCAGTTCTTTTCAAGTGTTCTTTTCAAGTGTAATGTACCTCCTCATGGGTCACACTCTCAACCTTACCTCCAGGGACCCGCCAGGACTTTAGTCTAGTTATAGATCTAGAAGCAAACAGGGGCGTTGGGGGTGGCTCCTGAGGATAATCAATATTACTTTGCCTGTCAAAAGTCTCCCCTGCCTCAGGGGAGACCATCATTGTAGCCTCAGGCAATGAGGTATTTATCTCCTCTGACAAAGGTGGAAAGGCTCATGGCAGCATGGGTCAGGGAGGGGATATTGCCACTATTGGGGATGGGGAAGCTGCTCCTTTTGGCAAAAATGGTTCATCAGAGTTTACAAACTCTGTGTCTCCATCTGATGTCCCTTCTCTCACATGTCCCCATTCCAAGTTGCAGGGTCTCATTCTTTTCCAATCAATGTCTTCACTTTAACAGTAGACACCTGGCGAGGCTGTACATGCACCTTTCATTGCAGGTTAACCACTCACATGATAAGAGCTTATGTCTGTTTTTCGATAATTTCAGCTCTTTCTCTACAGGAGATAAGACTCTTACTCAGGGCAATCTTTGCAGATTTGAGGCTCAGTATGTGCTTCTGAAGCTGGGAGACAGAATCCCTGAGTTTATTATTTTCTTTCATCACTTTGCCCACTAAATTTAGGAGTAACCAACCAGCTTCATTATGTTCCTATGTTTATTATGTATAGAGTCACTAAACTCCTTGCCTCTCATGAGTGGTGAATCAAGATTGTTGAATAAATTTATTTTGCATAACTCTTTAAACAGTTCATGCCAAGGACTATCAGTGTTCTCCATCCTTAGCATTTTACGTCTAATTATATTAAGCAGCCAACTCCAGAAACCCCAAAACCAACAAAAAAACCTCCAAACTTAATATTCTGTTCCTCCAGAACCACTCCTGATACCAAAATCTGTATTAGTCAGGGTTCTCTAGAGGGACAGAACTAATAACATTTATATATATATATATATATATGAGAGCTTATTAAGTATTACTTTACATGATCACAAAGTCCCACAGGAGGCTGTCTGCAAGCCCTAGGAGCAAGGAGAGTCAGTCCAAGTCTCAAAACTGAAGAACTTGGAGTCTGATGTTTGAGGGCAGGAAACATCCAGCATGGGAGAAAGATGTAGGCTGGGAGGCTAGGCCACTGTCACCTTTTCATGTTTTTCTGCCTGCTTTATATTTGCTGGCAGCTGATTAGATTGTGCCCACTGGATTAAGGATGGGTCTGCACTTAAGAGAAATGGAGCAGAGGGCTTTAGTTGGAGTTGCATTCTGGCTCCAGAAAAATAAGAAGCTCCCTTTTCCTGTATGTCACAAGAAATTGAGCTCAGGAGCAGCTCTTTCTTTGGGGAAAGGGAAAATCTCTCTTTCTAAACAAACCTTTGTTAGGCAACTTGTGCTTTTGGTGTCACCTGGGGTCACTCCTGCTTGTCTCTCTTCATACACTTTGAAAATCACCTCTACAGCTTTAATGAGAAACTAATGAGCATTGTATCTACGTTGTAGAGGAGAAGGGCTTTCGCAATGCATTGAGAGCCAGGATTTGGTTTTCATGTCAACTCCCTTTTCAGATATCCAATGAGATAGCAGTCAGAAGTTATAACATTGGTTCATAAGTACATATTGCATTTATTTTATTTCTTCCCAAGTAGCTTCCTCCAGTGTTTCTGAGCAGTACATGGGCATCCAGAAATCTTCCTGCTACTTTGGTGTCTATTGGGGTACAGAAATCTCTGCAAGCCTGTTGAAAGTCTCTTTTGTCCAGATAGAGAATGGAGGAGCATTTTTCCCTCTCTGGGATTTTACCATCTCACAAGCTTCAACCTGGGAATCATAAGATCATGAGGGCTTTCTCCCTGGAACTTACCAGTGTTTTTCTCTCATCACTTCTTTCTGTTTACCAGTCTCCCACCACTGCCCCCTCCCCCAACTCACAAAAATCTACTTATTACAGAAAGAGTACATAAGAAAGACATAAAGTTGTTTATGATCTTTCCTCTATTGTTTTTACTTATGGATCTCAAATTCTGTCTTTTACCTAAAGCATGTTGTTTAGGTACGCAAAAGGGTGAAATTTGCATGGTTTCCTGAGGCAATGAGCCTTGGGCGGTTCAGTGCTTAAAAGGGATTAGAGACTGAATGGTGGAATGCAAGAAAAAATGTAATAAAAGACACTTTCATATTAATTCTTGGTGCGTGGCATTGCTTTATGCATTTTGTATTTATATTCATAGCAATGTAAATTTCCATGTAGAAACTTAATAAAAATATTTTATTTTTTTGATTACACTTAGGAGTTTGATTACACTTAGGAGAAAGAAAAACTTACAGAAATATAAAAAATACTATCATTAAAACAGTTTAGCACAGGCTTGGTGTAGTGTCTCATGCCTGTAATCCCAACACTTTGAGAGATCAAGGCAGGAGGATCACCTAGGTGGGAGGATCACATAAGGCCATAAGTTTGGGAGCAGCCTAGGCAACATAGAAAGACATTGTCTCGACAAAAACAAAAATAAATAGCATGGCAGGGCATGGTGGTATGTACCTGTAGTCCCAGCTGCTCGAGAGGCTAAGGTGGGAGGATTGCTTGAGCTCAGAAGATTGAGGCTACCATGAAATATGATCACACCACTGCATTCCAGCCTGGGTGACAGAGGGAGACCCTGTCTCTAAGTTAAAAAAAAGTAGAAATAAAAACAATGTCACACATTATTCATCTAGTTTTTGGAAAAAAGTCAATACTTGAACATGAAAACAATTGAACTATTAAGAAATAAATGTTTGAAGAGAAGTCAAGTTTTTGAGACAAAGACATTCTAACAAATAACCCTCCTCAATCTTATGAAATTATTTCATATAATTGCATACATTCTGGAAACTCCATTTCACTATGATGCTTTCTTCAGCTTATATGTTCAGGAATATATATAAAATAACTTATCTTGATTTATGTGATCCCTCAAATTATTATCTAATTTCTTCTTTTCATGTGTCACAGACTTTGTGTCCCCATTTGATCATCCTATCAGAAAAATCACCAAGACACCTAATTTCAGTTGCCATATACTAATCAATTTTATAAATGATTTACTTATAAATTTATAATGATTTACTTATAAATCATTTATAAAATTATCCATTTCCATGCTGAAAGACATAGGTGACAGGTTTTCAGAATTAAAAATTATGCAACTCTGACCATCCTTTTACATGTCTCTTTGTGTCTTATCCAACAGTTTTGATAGGCATATGTCTTGGAGTAAAATATTAGGATCTGAATATATTTCACTATATTACATAATTTTAGGTGTTTCCAAAATGTACACACTTGCCAATGTTGTATAAGCATTTTTGTTGTTTCACATGCCCTTTAATATGTGATATTATCAGAAATTTACTTTTATTGTCTTGATGGGTAAAAAAAAAATGGTAATTTAATTTGCATACTCTGAATATTAGTGAAATTGAACATGTTTTATATATTTAGCATTTCCTCTTCTTTGATGTTTTTTCAGGTATTTTGCCCATTTATTAATTATTGTTTTCTTTTTGCTTTAAACTTTAAAGTTTCTAAAAACTAATAATTCATTGCATTTGTGTGTTTAAGATGTCTTCTACAAGTTTTTAGGTGTGCTCTCATCATCTTATATTGTTTGATGACTAGGTTTTATTCTAAATGCATATGGAAAGTTGTGTTTCCTTTTATAATTTTTGTTATTTTATCTTAAGAGATAGTTTATATGCTGAGTTAATATTAAAATATTATATTCATTAATCTTGAAATATTCACATACTTTTTCCTTTCCTTTATTTTTTCTTTTAGACAGGGTCTTGCTCTGCAACCCAGGCTGGAATGTGGCACAATTATGGCTCACTGCAGCTTCAGTCTTCCAAACTGAAGCAATTCTCCAACCTCAACCTTCTCTTAAGTGTGTGCCACCACTCCCAGCTATTTTTTTTTTTTTTAATTTTTTGTAGAGATGGGATCTCTCTATGTTGCTCATGCAGGTCTTGAACACACAGGCTCAAGTGATTCATACCTTGGCATCCCAAAGTTTTGGGATCACAGCCATGAGCCACCTTGCCTAGCCACAAACTATTATAAAATTACACTATAATTATTTCATTACATATTTTAAAATAGATTTTTTCATCTACATTTAAGTCTAATAAAGTAGTGTTGATTTTCTCCGTAGTGTAAGGTAGAAACTTAGCCCAGTTTTCCTAAAATATAGAGCTTAAGGGGAGGTTTAGATAATTATTTCATGAATTGACAGATTCTGTTTATAAATGTTTGTTTACAGTTTTTAAACATATATTTGTAAATGAGACTGACTTATAATTTTCATTTTTTATACTCTTCTTGCTTTGTTTGCTTTCAAAGTATTGCCAGCATCATAAACAAAAAGATTGTATTTCATCTTATTCTCTTCTGTGGAAGGTTTTGTGTAAAATCAAAGTTATATGTTTCTTGAATATTTTATAGAACTCACCAGGAAAATGATCTAAGCCTGTTGTTTTCTCTGTGGGAAGACTCTTAACTTTCAATTCAGGTACATTTGGTGGTTATAGGACATGCAGGTTTTCTATTTATTTGTGTCTTACTTGGGAAGTTGTATTTTTATAGGAACTTATCACACACCTTCTCAAATCTATTAAAATAGTATGTTTGTTATAGTTTGGATCTAGTTTCCTCTAAATCTCATATTGAGTTTTGATTCCCAGTGTTAGAAGTGGAGCCTGGTGGGAGGTGATTGGATCATGGTGAATTTCTCACGAATGGTTTAATGCCATCCCCTTAGTGCTACCCTTGCATTAGTGAGTTCTTGGAACATCTGGATATTTCACTGTTTAAAAGTGTGTGGCATCATCCTCCTACCTCTCTCTTGCTCCTGCTGTGGCCATGTTATATGTCAGCTCCCTCCTTTGCCTTCCACCATGATTGTCAGCTTCCTGAGGCCTCCCTAGAAGCACAGCAGATGCCTGGTGCCATGTTTCCTGTACAGCCTGCAGAACTGTGAGCCAATAAACCTCTTTTTTTTGATGAATCACCTAGTCTCAGTTCTTTCTTTATGGCAACAGAATGTTCATATCATTCTTGTATGTTTTATTTTAATTATAAAAATTGTAAATATACACATAAACATAGGTAATATAATTGGACACCACATGCTCATAATTTAAATTCAAAATTTTAACAAAAGTTTGCCAAACTCACTTTATCTCTTTTCTTTATCATTTTAAATCAAGTCCCAAATCTTATGTCACTTCATTTTACTACACTTTAGTAGGCATTTTTAAGCAATTTGTCCTTTTTTTTACTTAAACACAATTCCATTAACAAAACTTTTCTTAATACCTTATAATATGTAGTTCATATTCATGTTTCATTTACTTGTTATATCTTTTAAGCCTCTCCTAAATAAATAGCCCCTACTTGTATTATTATTATTATTATTTTTATTTTTGAGACAGAGTCTCACTCTGTCACACAGGCTGGAGTGCAGTGGTGCAATCTTGGCTCGCTGCAACCTCCACCTCTCAGGTTCAAGTGATTCTCATGCCTCAACCTCCTGAGTAGCTGGAATTACAAGTGCATGACACCATGCCCAGCTAATTTTTGTATTTTTAGTAGAGAGGGAGTTTTGCCATGTTAGCCAGGCAGATATCAAACTCCCGACCTCAAGTGATCTGCCTGCCTTGGCCTCCTGAAGTGCTAAGATCACAGGTGTGAGCCACCATGCCTGGCCACCTACTTGTATTTTCATAATGCCATTGACTTTTTGAAGAAATTTGATCATTCACCCAGTCGAATGTCCCACTCTCTGCATTCTTTACTTGTGTTGTCACTTAACTTGTTCTGTTGCTTTTGTATACCCTGTAATATAAGATATTAACTCCAAAAGATTAATTGGATTTAATTGTGTTCTTTTCCCTTAGAATATTCATACATGGTCTATTTGAACTTCATATTATGTCACATTCAGAAGCACATATAATATCTAGTTGTGAATAAATGAGTGGTTCAGGTAATGACAGCCTTGTGACTACATTAAATTTCATCAGCTGTATACATCTAGTGGTTTAATCCATGAATAATCTTATCTTGAATCAATAAATTATTTAAAGGTTGAAAAACCGTGATTTTCTAGTACAATATTTACTTGTAAAATTGTTTATTAAAATTCATCTGTAATGATTATTTTTTCTCGTGAACTAGTCATATATTTAATCTGAAATACAACTCGTACAAAAAATGTAAGAAATTTCAAATTATTTTTCAAACAATGAGACTAATTACATCAATAGGTGTCCAATTTATTCTGGTTTTATTCTCACTCTGTGTTTCTCATAACATTAAGAACTCATTTTTCAATCAGTCCAATTGGAGAAGCATTTTTTAAAGTTCAGTGGGATCCCTTTTATATTGTTTTTGTGTCCTTTTGACAAAACCAAAATATTTTTAATAGCATCTTTATTTTATGTCACAAAACATCCTAAGTTCCTTACTGTCAGTATTCTGTACATGACTTAGAATCAGCAACTTCTTTCAAGAAACCCCGTTTTTTTTTGTTTGCTTTTTCATGGATAGTGATATTTTGTAATCACTATTTAAGAATAGGATAATCATTGCTATTTGGATTTTTTATTGCTTAGCAGTTTATAAATATGCCACATACTTAGCAGTTTATAAATATGTGTGTCTGTGTGTGCATTCATAAGTTTGTATTACAATACTAAAAATAATGTTTATGTTATTTCCAATTAATTATAACATTACAGTGTTTGTAATGTAACCTCTTAGATTACTATAGTTTTCTGTATAGTTTTCTGTTTTACCAAAAAAATTTGTAGCTAACAACATAAATATTTTGTTAATTTATCATGTATATATATATAAATAGTAATATGTATCTATGTAAAATTGTTTGAAAATAATAATAGCAATATCATTAATAACAATTCAAAGAAAGAATAAAACTTCAAATTCATTTCTGGTATTTGTTTTTAGAATATGTCACACCAAGTAGAAATAATCAAAATGCTGTGTTCTACAGTAAGGTAAAATAAATTCTTCTTTGTGTAATACATTAGGCAGAATAACAGAGTCCCAAAGATGTCTGCATTGTAATTCCAATAACTTGTGAATATATTACCTTACATTGTGAAATGGGATTAAGGTAGCAATTAAAATTAAGGTTGATAATCAGCCATCCTTAAAAACTTTGAAATTGGGAGATATTCTGGATTATGTGGATGGGCCCAATGCAATCCTATGAGTTCTTAGAATAAGAAGAGGGTGCAGAATACTGGGTAGAAACATGCCCCATGAGCAGAACTTCTCTGGCTTGAAGCTGGGTGAATGAGGCCATGTGTCAAAAAATCCAACACCTCTAGATGCTGGAAACAGCCTTCTGGTACAGACAGCAAAAAAAAAAACAAAACAGAGACTTTATTCCTATCACTGCATGGAACTGAGTTTGGCTAACAACAAAAATAATCAGGCCAAGAAGTATATCCTAAACGCTTCAGAGAGGAACAAAACATGCTGTCATCTTGACTTTATTCCAGTGACACCTATACTAGAATTCTGATCTATAGAACTATAAAACAATGAATTTGTGCTGTTTTAAACCAATAATTTGTTACAACAGAACCAGAAAACTAATACATGTGGCTATATCAACAGTTTATGTACAGTTAAATTTCAGTTTTTCATATTTTATTTTTAAAATATTAAATATTTGTTTTCAATGCTAAATTTATAGTAAAAGTATAATAGATAAAATATTATAGTCCTAGTTTCTTCCATTTTTTTCTGTATCTTCCGCAAGTAAAGTTTTTTATGTTGTGTTTTTTAATAAACAATGATAGGCATATGTGCATGCATCATTTGTCTGTCAATCTATGTTTTTCCCTACTCATTCCTTGTACAGCTGTATAAGATTTTCAAAGATCTCTTTGTCTTCCTTGTTCTCGTTCTGATAAATCTAAATTAGGACTTGATTTCCTTTTGTTTTCTTTTTTTCTGAGACAAAATCTCACTCTGCCACCCAGGCTGGAGTGCAGTGGCACAATCTTGGTCACTGCAACCTCCACTTCCCAGCTTCAGGAGATTCTTATGCCTCAGCCTCCCATGTAGCTGGGACTACAGATGCGTGCCACCACGCCCAGCTAATTTTTTGTAGTTTTAGTACAGACAGGGTTTCGGTTTCACCAAGTTGGCCAGGCTGGTCTTAAACTCCTGACCTCACGTGATGTGCCCGCCTCGGCCTCTCAAAGTGCTGGGATTACAGGCGTGAGCCACCATACCTGGCCATCTTGATTTCCTTTTAATATTATACCAACTGGTTCTGCCATTTATCTTAATCAGACTTTCATAATTTTAATGTCGATGCTTCTCTGTGTTGTATGCTTTGATAATTTCTGATCTTTTAGTTAACTAATAAGCTTCCCAACTCTGTCTAATCTGATTATTTAGCCAATTTATTGTGTTTTTATTTTAATTATTCTTTAACTTGAAGAGGTTTTATGTTTGTTTTCCAACCAACTTGATCTTTTTATTTTACAGTTACTTTCACTTTACTTATATATTCAGGCCTCTCTATTGCATTATGAAACATTAAGCACAGTTATTTTTGTGCTATATCTGATTATGGCAATATGGAAAGATTTATGAGTCTTATCTGTAGTTTCTTCTGATTTTACTCTTACTTATTATATTTCTTTGTGTCTTTTGTGATATTTCGACTCTGAGGTTTTTATCTATAGAAACGTTTTGCTGCCTGGATTGAAGCTGTGTTCATTCTAATTAGATTTGCATTTTCTTCTGCCAGTCACTTAAGGATATTACCAATTTGGCACCATTTTGTATTACGTATTCTGTTTGTGGTCTTGGATGACACAATAGTATGCACTTGGGCCTAAAACTCACTGGTGGCTGGTTTTGATTTGCAAATTCTAAGTTAGATTTTTGTTTGTTTGTTTTTCTTCATCAATACCAAGATAAACAAAAGTGTTTTTTTCGTACTTCCCTTTTGGGAGTAGGTTTTTTCCTTGTTAATATTTACACTGAGTGTGTAGTTATCTGTAATATGGTCCATCTCACACAATACATAAGCTTTAAAAGTGAAATTTAATACTTTTAAAGTCAGGATTTTCTCCTGTTTTACCTCCTCCTGCTAACATCCTCCTTCTCCTCCTCTTAATTCTGCTCCACCTTCTTATTTTATTTCATATCCATAGAGTCTTTCCTTGCCAGCTTCAAGGCATAACATATTTTATAAGATTCAGATTAGCTACCTGTTGCAGAATTGCTGCTGGGGATGGGCACAATCTGTATTAGTCTATTCTCAAATTTCTATAAAGAACTACCTGAGACTTGGTAATTTATAAAGAAAAGAGGTCTAATTGGCTCACAGTTCTGCAGGCTACATAGGCTTCTCCTTCTAGGGAGGTCTTGGGAATGCTACAATCATGGCAGAAGGCGAAGAGGAAGCTGGCACATATTACATGGCCAGAGCAGGAGGAAGAGAGTGAAGGGGGAGGTGCTACAAACTTTTAAACAACTAGATCTTGTGAAAACTCACTCACTGTCACGAGAACAGCAAGGGAGATATCCACCCCCATGATCTAATCACCTACCACCAGGCCCCTCCTCCAACATTGAGGATTACAATTCAATATGAGAATTGGGCTGGGACACAAATCCAAACTGAATCATTCTGTACCAGACCTCTCCCAAATCTCATGTTCTTCTCACATTTCAAAATACATTCATGCCTTCTCAACAGCCACCGAAGTCTTAACTCATTTCAGCATTAACTCAAAAGACCACAGTCCAAAGTCACAACTGAGACAAGGCAAGTCCCTTCTATCTGTGAGCCTGTGAAATCAAAACTAGTTAGTGACTTCCAACATACCATGGGGGTACAGGCATTGGCCAAATACTATTGTTCCAAAAGGGAGAAATCAGCCAAAACCAAGAGGTTACAGGCCCTATGCAAGTCTGAAACCCAGCAGGGCAGTCATTAAAAGTTAAAGCTCCAAAATAATATCTTTGACTTCATGCCTCACATCCAAGAAACACTGATGCAAGAGGTGGACTTCTGAGGCCTTGGGCAGTTCCACCCCTGTGGCTCTGCAGGGTACAGTCCCTGCAGCTACTTTCAGGGGCTAGTGTGCTGGTGTTGAGTGACTGAGGCTTTTCCAGGTGCATGATGCAAGATGTTGGTGGGCCTGTCATTCTGGGGTCAGAATGATGGTGGCCCTCTTCTCACAGCTCCATTAGGCAGTGCCCCAGTGGGGATTCCGTGTGGGGGCTCCAACCCCACATTTTCCCTCCACACTACCCTAGTAGAGGTTCTCCATGAGTGCCCCACCCCTTGCAGCAGACTTCTGCCTGGACATCCAGGTGTTTCCACACATCCTTTGAAATCTAGGTTGAGGTTCCCAAGCCTCAATTCTCACAATATGCACACCCACAGACCTTAACACCACCTGGAAGACACTAGGGCTTATGGCCTGCATCCTCTGAATAAAATGTTTGAGCTGTACTTTGGGCCATTTTAGCCATGGCTAGAGCTGGAGCAGTTGTGATGCAGGGTGCCATGTCCTTAGGTTGCACAGAGAAACCGGGCCCTGGGCCTGGCCCAAAAAATCATTTTTCCCTCCTACACCTCCAGGCCTTTGATGGCAGGGGCTGCTGCAAAGGTCTTTGAAATGCCTTTGAGGAATTTTTCCCATTATCTTGGCTGTCAACATTTGGCTCCTCTTTACTTATGCAAATTTCTGCAGCTGGCTTAAATTCCTCCCCAGAAATTTTTATTTATTTATTTATTTTTTCTACCACATGGTCAGGCTGCAAATTTTTCAAACTTTAACACTCTACTTCACTTTTAAATAATTTACAGTTTCGGATCACCTCTTTGCTCACACATAACAAAAGTGACCTTGGCTCCAGTTCTTGATGAGTTCCTCATCTGCATCTGAGACCACCTCAGCCTGGAATTCATTGTCCATATCACTGTCAGCATTTTGGTCACAACCATTCAACAAATCTCTAGGAAGTTCCAAAGTTTCCCTCATCTTCCTGTTTTTTTCTGAACTCTCCAAACTGTTCCAACTTCTGCCCATTACCCAGTTCCAAAGCTGCCTCCACATTTTCAGGCATCTTTATAGCAATTCCCCACTTCTTGATACCAATTTTCTGTATTAGTCTGATCTCACATTGCTATAAAGAACTACCTGAGAATGGTAATTTATTTTAAAAAAGAGGTTTAATTGGCTCCCAGTTCTACAGGGTATATAGGCTTCTGCTTCTGGGGAGGCCTCAGGAAACTTACAGTCATGGTGGAAGGTGAAGGAAAGAAGCTGGTACGTCTTACATGGCAGAAGCAGGAAGAAGAGAGCAAAGGAGGAGGTGCTACACACTTTTAAGCAATCAGATCTCCTGAGAACTCACTATCATGAGAACAGCAAGGGGGAGTTCTGTCCCCATGATCCAATCTCCTCCCACCAAGCCACTTCTTCAACTTTGGGGATTACAATTTGACATGAGATTGGGGTGGGGACACAAATCCAAACGATATTACCATCTGTTGGTTATAAAGCAAGCAGCTCAGTTTTCTTATTAGACTTAAGTGCTGCTAAGCAAATCACCCTGTTTATATACAATCACTGTGAAGCACTGCTGTTGGCATGTGTGTTTTTTTTTTTTTTAATTGTATTTGTAGAGTTTGTGGGAGTTAAACTTTTCATTACAGGCACCTTGTCTGAAACAACTTTTTTGAAATTTTTTTTGCCAATTTGAATTATTTTCCATACATATAACCCACTAGGTTTAATGATTTTTGTTTGTTTCTATTGCAGGATTCTTCTTCTCCCTGGGTAATTTATTCTCTTTTCATCTCAGCTGATACAAGTCATTGGTTCCCCACACTAATTTTATCTTGCATAAATTCTCAGGCAATTAAGCTTTGCATCTCCAGAGTTTAAGAATACTGATGGCTGCAAAGCTTCTCTGAGGATTGTCTTTAGTCTTATTTGACAGACAGTGGTTAAAGTGATGTACTTCATGAAAGGGGTCCCTTTGGGGTAATTTAGACAAGTCCTTTGACCCCTAGAACTGAATTGAAGACTGCAAAGGAATTAAATTCTGTGGCTCTGGTAGATTTGGAGCACTTGGCTCACTGTCTTCGTGAGCTTCACATGGATTAATGTGCTGTTGTCCGGCCCACTCACAGTAGGTGCTGCCCTCTGAAGGCCTTCTGGCCCTGCCTCTATCCTAAGGTCGCAGATCCCACTTCTTCTTCTGCTTCCTGGTAAAGTTTCTGGGACCTAACCTCATTGTCATCCAGCGGCTTAAGTTTTTGCCAAGGTTACAGTCGATCACCAGGTGATTACGGAGTCATAGGGGATTAATTTATTTTGTAAACAGACAAACAATATTTTAGTTCCATCTTCCTCTTCACTGCCTCTGTTTCCACAAATACTTCACTTCCTCTTCACTGCCTCTGTTTCCACAAATACTTTTTTTTAATTAGCTTTGCATATATGAAGTTTTGCTGTTTCATCAGCTTTTTTTTTACCAATAACTTATGATTCAGCTTTCTTGGGCATGTTAAACAAGTTGTAACTTATTCTTACTTGTTTTAGGTTCCACATTTTATTTTTTTAAATATTATTTTTTACAATTCATATATATATATATACACACACACACATATTTTTGGGGTACATGTGGTATTTTGATAAAATTCATATAATGTGTAAAGATTAAATTAGGTAATTGGGATATCCATCATCTTAAATAGTTTTCTTTAGGCTAGGAACATTACAATGATTCTTTTCAAGCTATTTTTGAAATGCACAATAGATTATTATTAACTATTGTCACCCTACTGGTCTTTCTGACACTAGTTCTGATTTCTTCTTTATAACTGTATATTTATGCCTATAAATCAACCTCTCTTCATCTCCACATCCCCACTATACTTCCTGACCTCTGATACCCACCGATCTATTCTCTATCTTCATGAGATCTATTTTTTTAGCTCCCACATATGAGTAAAAATATGTGATATTTATCTTTCTGTGCTTGGCTTATTTCATTTAACATAATGACCTCAAGTTCCATCTATATTGCTTCCAATGAGAAGATGTCATTCTTTTTTACGGCTGAACAATATTTCATTGTGTATGTATACCACGTTATCTTTATTCATTCATCCACTGATAAACACTTAGGTTGATTCCACATTTTGGCTATTGTGAATAGTGCGGCAATAAACATGAAGGTGCAGATATCTCTCTGATATATTAATTTCATTTGCTTTGGATATATATCCAGCAGTGAAATTGCTGAATCATAGGGTAGTTCTATTTTTAGATTTGTGAGGAGACTCTATACTCTTTTCTAAAGTGGCTGTATTAATTTTCATTTCCATCAACAGTGTATGAGAGTTACCCTTTCTCCACATCCCTAATAGCATTCATTATTCCCTGTCTTTTTATAATAGCCATTTTTAACTAGGGTCAGGTAATATCTCATTGTGGTTTTTGATTTGTATTTATCTGATGATCAGTGATGTTGAACATATTTCATATATTTATTGGCAATTTGTATAAATTTTTTATTCAGATTTTTTATTGTTTCTAAATCAGATTTTTTTTTGGCTATTTAGTTTTTTGCTATATATATTCTATGTTATATATGCATATTCTGATATATATATATTCTATGTTAATCTTTTATCAAATTGATAGTTTGCAAATATTTTCTTCTATTCTGTAGGTGATCACTTTGTTGTATGTTTTCTTTACTCTTCAGAAGCTTTTTTGATTAATGTAATTTCATTTGTCTTTTGCTTTTGTTGCCTATGATTTTCAGATCTTACACAAAAAATCTTTGTCCAGACCAATGTCCTGGAGCATTTCCCTAATGTTTTCCTCGAGTAGTTTCGTAGTTTTAGGATGTAGATATAAGTCTTTGATCCATTTTGATTTGATCTTTGTATATGGTGAGAGATAGGGGTCTAGTTTCATTCTTCGGCATATGGCTATCCAATTTTCCCAGCATCATTTATTGAAGAGGGTGTCCTTTCCCCAGTGTATGTTCTTGTTGCCTTTGTCAAAAATGAGTTCTCTATAAATTTGTGGATTCACATCTGGGCTCTCTAATCTGTTCCATTGGTCTGTGTGTCTGTTTTTATACTAGTATCATGGTAACTTGGTTCCTATAGCTTTGTATATTTTGAAGTGAGGTAGTGTGATGCCTCCAACTTTTTTTTTTTTCCTCAGGATCACTTTGGCTATTTGGGGTATTTTGTGGTTCCATATAAATTTTAGAATTTTTTAAAAAAATTTAAATATCATTGGTATTTTCAAAAAATTGCATTGAATTTGTTAATTACTCTATTACTGACATTTTAACAATATTAATTCTTTCTATCTGTGAGCATGGAATATCTTTCCACATTTTTGTGTGTTTTCTTCAATTTCTTTCATCAGTGTTTAATAGTTTTCCTTCTATAGATCTGCCACTCCTTTGGTTAAAATAATTTGTGTGTGTGTGTGTGTGTATATATATATGGTATATATATACACATATATATGGTGTATATATACATATATATGGTATGTATATATATGCCTACTATATATATAGCATGTGTATATATACATACACACCATATATATAATATGTGTATATATGTGTATATATACATATATAGATATGTGTATATATATGCATACCATATATATGGTATGCATGTTTATATACGTATATACATATATATGGTATGTGTATATATATACCATATATACACATATGTATATATATACCATACATACACACATATGTATATATATACCATTGCTGTCTGCAACCAATCAGACTGATTGCGGGCTACCACTGCAGTTACACGAGGTGAGCATAAAGTGGACAATGGGAAACTTCTAAGGGGTATTTGGAACTAAGAAGATTCTGTATCTGGGACCTTGAGCCACTGCTTGGGTCTGCTCCTACACTGTGGAGTGTACTTTCATTTTCAATAAATCCCTGCTTTCGTTCTTTTGTTGCTTCATTCTTTCTTTGCTTTGCTGGGCGTTTTGTCCAATCCTTTGTTCAAAATGCCAAGAACCTGGACAACTTAGAGTCACAACCCTCTACGGTGACACTTACGGTGTGCTAAGCGTTCTTCTGGGCATTTGGGATACCAAAGTTAAGAGATACATTTCTGCCATAATGGTCTTACACCTCTAAGCAAAGCAGTACATTATGTATAGCAATATATTAGAAAGATATATCAAAGTAGGATGACCCTCAATTGTGTGTTGGTGTGGGGCATTAGATACTTCATTAAGAGTAAGTCTCTGTGAGGTTACTATTTGATCTGAGATATAAGAGATAATAAGAATGGCAAAACAAATTTAGGAAGATTATTTGAAGCCATGAAATTAGCAAATTAAAAGTCCTTATGGTAGGAATATGCTCAGTATATTTTAGCAACAGGGAAAATTAAATAAAAAATAAAGTAAGGAAGAAAAGGAGAAAAAAGGAAAGAAGGATAAGACTGAGTTGAGAAGAATATGTTATGTTAAGAAAAGAATAGTGGCAGATCAGTCAGATCAGTACAAATAACTTCCACCATGTGTAATTTTGTAAGTCATGATGTCAGTCAGAGCCTAACCAGAAAAACAGAAACCACTCTGTGTATATCAAAAGATGGGATTGAATCACAGGAATTTTAACTATTAACTAATTAGTTAAGCAACCTTGAAACTACGAAGCAATCTAGACATCAACAACAGGAGGGAGTCAATATCCCAAGGATGAGGAGCAAAGACGAAGAAGCTATATTATCTGATTTGGCTATTAGGATTTCCAGGCTGTAGTTGGATTTATCCAGTTTTTAGCAAACGCCATAGAGGAAAGGGCGGTGCTGCTTCAAGAGAGGCTTCCTTAAGTCAAGGGGAACAAAGAAGTGTCTTGGCTTCTCCCTGCAGTGCACCCTTCAGTCTTCTCTTAGGGTCTCCCATTGGCCAGAGTCAACTAGCTGGCAGTTTACATAATAGTTCATCAACAGAACCTGCAAGAACTAGCTCTGCTTTCTTCCTCTCCACTCCTTTTCTCTACTCACAAACACACATTCACACATACACACTCTCTCACTCACACACATGCACCACAGCACAGCACATCACACCACACCACACACACACACCACACCACAAAGAGACAGTACCTATGTCACAAACATAAACATAGAGAGCCAAAGAGAGAAATACTATGGTATTTTTGTACTTTATTTATGCTTATGTATGATGTCCCTTAGTCGAATACAACCCTGTCTATAGGCTAGCCAACCGAATGTATTCTACCTTTCTTCTCATCTCTTAATAGTTAAATAATCAAAGAACTGCTGAGAGACACCAATGTTAATGAAGACACTAGAGTTCACCCAGATTGTTTAGTTGTTAAACAGCAAAAATTTTTCCCTATACGTAAAACACATATATTTATTTCTCACCAAGAAACCTATGATTTCATGGAATTTATAATTAAAAATTATCAAACAGTAAAACAACAGTAATTATCAAATTATTAAACAATAATTAACAAACGATAACTTGATAATTGTTTTCAAAAGTATTAGAAAGTATTAACTATTATGTTCAATGTAGTTCCTACTTACCAATAATTTGATGGTTTCTAGTTTGAAGTATCAATTTATCTTTAATTGTATGATAGTAGAAATGAATTTGTATACTGTTTTAATAGATAAATAAGATTCATGCATTTATCATTTATAAGACCACATAGAATACTTAAAACAATTTTCACTTTTAATTTTTTTTATAATATAGTGGAAGGACTCTTTTTAATCTCATGTCTTTGTATCAGTCAAAATAAACTAAATCCTAATCTACATTGTTTAATTAACACATACCTTTTGACTTACATAAGAAAAAGGGTCATGTTACAACAGTTCTTGAGTTGGTTAATCAATACAATGGGTCAACAAGATTATAAAGCAGCCAGTATCCTTCCACCTTTTGCTCTACCATGCTCATCAGTGCTACTGGCTTTAAATTTTTATTAACTTTACTTATGTGTGCAAGATTACTGCCAGAGTTCTTAGCAACTTATATGGGGGGGCAAGATGTGGGAATGTATCTAGAAGGATACCATAGTAGAACACCCAACATGTATCCAGACCGTATGTGTCTCATTTTTAAAAGAGGCAACATTTTGAGAACCCTGAGCCAATTTTCCTTGTAAGTCATTAACTAGAATATTGTCAAATGCCCAAGAAGAAAGCAATCACTGATGAGAGTAATAGGATCACTATGTTTGTCTTATAATAATAATTAAATTTACCCTGACCAGACTTTAATTACATCCTCTAAAGAGGGTTTATTAAATATAAATGGCTTTTATTATTTTTAATAAGGAACACAGGAGAGGGGAGGGATGGAGTGACTTAGGATTGGTTAGACTGTGTCGCAATAAGAAACCACCTGAAACATCTCAGCAGTGAAGTTTCTCTCTTTCTTATGTGAGATGTCAATACATGGGCCTCTGTTTATCTTGGGCTCTCACCAATGAGGGCCAAGAAGGTTAAATCTTATCAAATGCTTCCATAATCACAGCAGCAGAAAAAAGTAAAATGGAAACCCTGCACTGGACCTTAAAGTTTCTGACTAGAAGTGGCACATGCCATCTTCATAGACAATCTGAGTTTAACATGGTAGTGATGTATATTCCTCCCATTGAAAGGGGAATGGGATATTTGTGAAGAATATACAGTTTATAAAAGTACATACCTTTGGTCTCCAAATATTTGGTTCCTTCCCCCTCCCACTGACAGATTATAACCCCTATATCTTCATTCCCTATAACCATGATCCCATCTAGGCAGAATGCTTTGTTCTGAAAGCACATGATATAAGGGTAGATATAGTAATTTGCTCAGGTTTGGGAGTGCATTTTGAATACATAATCCTATAAGAGAAAAAGCAAAGTTATTTGCCCCACCCCATACTTTTAATAAACAAGAGTGGGCCTCGGATAAGATAATCACAGTTAACAAACCCATTCTCAAATAAAGAAGGAATGGAAGGCACACAGTATTCCTCTGTTTATAAAAATGCTAAAATTCTGTTGTTCAGAATTTTGTTGTTCAGTAATCCACCCTCAGTAATAGGAAATGCTCCTTGATTAAACTCTGATAGCACTACCTGGAAATATTTTTCCCATTCATTTTTTTTCCCTGCCATTCTTAGCTCCACACTCTGGAAGTTCTTTTCTTTTTTTCACTTTCTATTTTGGTTACATCTGAAGAAAGCACTGGATAATTCACCCTTCTTGGTGGTCAAACAGCTCCTTTTCTTTCCTCTTATCATAGAAAGTTTGGGACCCAAATATTGTTTTAGAAATTAAATGGTCAGTCTCTGAGTCCATGAGATGGCTCTTTTCAAAGTACACTCTCACTCATTTTGTAGCCTTTAAAAAATTATTCCAATAAGGTTTATGTTCCAAAATCCATACTCCCAAAGCTCTTGAAGATAGGCCTTTCTCTCTAAACCTATATTCAGATAATTTGAGATTATGTAGCTTCCTCAGAAGAGGCAGTTTTCCTGAGGCGTTTTTGTCTAATTGAAAGTATTTAAATTTTTATGATATTTTAATCACGGGTAAATGGACATGGCATAATTTAGTCTTTACCACAAGACTGAGTTTGGTATGCCTTTAATGTTTAATAAATTTCTCAATATTATTTCTTATTGATTGTGAGAGAAAATTAGTTGCTTCTCCTCTTACAAGAATTTTTGCTGATCTAACATGTGCTCCTTTCATTCCTCTTTTACTGTTCTGTTTCCTACACTTCGTTTTAAGTTACGCACTTATTAGGTATACTATTTACTTTCCAAATTACATAGCACGTCAGTTTTACCACATTAAAACCATAGAATAACATGAATTGTCCTCCTTCTATCCTCCAATAACAGTTTCCTCATTACGTTCTATTTTGCTCCAAAGCCAATTCTATATTCTTTGGTTTGCATGTTTAGGTTAAGGCAAAAATGACTTATGATATTAATTTCTGTCCATATAAACTAGGTTATATGTGCAAAAATATCAGGGGCTGAAAAAAAACCAAAGGTTTGTCTCTTTCTCATATTGGAGATTCATTGTAGTTTGGCCATGGTTGTGATCTGTATAATGCCTTTCTTTCTGGACTCAGGCTGACAAAACAGACTTTATCTGAAGAATTGTCATCATCATGGCAGAGAGAAAGGAGAACATGTCAAAGCATTTGCTGGCTCTCACAGCTTCTTCCTGAAAGTGCATATTTTATTTTTACTTACATTTCAATGGAAAAGCAAATCATGGGCATTCCAGAGTTCAGCAAAGTGAAAATATATAATCCTCATGGAGTGGCAGCAATAATGGTGACTATCCATTCAATTAACAATCTCAAGGATACGCTTTTTAAAAAACACTTTATTTTTTAGAGTAGTATTGGACTCACAGCAAAACTGAGAGATAGACACAGAAATTTTATATATACCACCTGCCCCTACACATGCATATCCTCCCACAATATCAATATTTCCCACCAGAGTGGTGTATTCATTGCAACTGATGAACCTACCCTGATAATTCATTATATCCCCAAATCTACAGTTCACATTATTACATTAGGGTTCACTAACGCAATATTAATTTTGATTAATATATTTTTCCAGTTTCCCTAGAAAAGAGAGCTTGAAGCAAAATCATATCTGCTAGCACTTCATTGAATAATAAAATCCCAAAGAAGCAGGAGGGGAAGATGAAGAAAGTAAAGCCAGGAAATGGTGAACACAGAATATAGCTTTGTAACAAGTGTGTTTGGTCTCATTGGAGGTCTTCAAGGAGGCATATTGCTTTTTGAAATAGTCCATGAATTATGGAGACAAAAATAAGAGCTTATCTACTGCTACCAATCCTCCATTGCTCAGGACTCATTGGGTCATAACTCCTCTGCACCTCTAGAAGTTACAGTCTGGTTTTCCTAACATCTGGCTGGAAACTGATATCCAAATACAACAGTAGAGGCCTCCTCAGTGAAAGCCATAGAATTCATGTCTGTTCAGGTAAGCCAAATGAATGAATGTCTACCAAGAGTCTATCATCACGCCCCTCTATTCAGCATCACAAGAAAACTTCAGAGTAGATGGCAAGAAACCTGCTGTATGAAGCTTGTGATAAGGTTCTGTTAAAGTTTGTCTTAAGTAAAATGACAAACGGAGAAAAAAAACAATAGATTCTAAATCAAGGGTCACAAAATCACTTAAATTTGCCAAAATAAATAGAAATTTATAATAAAACATACACAGAAGTCTTATAAAATCCCAAATCAGGAAGTTTAGCCAGGCCAAATGAAAAATGGAAAATCAGGCAACTAATTATTTCCTCTTATTTGCTCTATAGTTTATTATTTTTGTGTTTTCCTATACAACTGATGCACACTTCTCTTTGAAGACCAGTGTTACTCCTCAAGCCTCTTTGTTGTTATTTCTTCAAAACTAACTTGAAAATAGCTTTGGTTTTCAAACTTCTCAATTCTCTTTGATCTGACAGGTCACTATAGCAATTCAGTCCAAATATCATTGGTCATTCACTGGGTGATCCAATTACAAATTCCAGAGCAAGAATTCTGCTTTCCCCAGGTTTCTGCCCTTGGTTATAAATCTGTGCAAAAGAAAAAAAAAGAGTGAAGTTATGTTTAACAAATATACACACTTAGGTCCATGTTGAGAATTCTAAGTGTCTGGGTGCACTAGATTTTTTTTTAAGGCCATGAGAAGGGCAAAATCTCATAGAAAGGAGAAAATTTTTACATCATAATTACATTTATATACATTGAAGTTTCACAAAAAATATTTTAATGAACAAAACATTTTGTTAAGAAAGATAGTTTAAGATATTAAATATGGAGTGAGGTTATTATTTGATTTTCCGTAGAGAGAGGGTTTCACTATGTTTGCCAAGATATTCTCAAACTCTTGACCTCAAGTGATCTGCTCACCTTGACCTCCCAAAGAGCTGGGATTACAGGTGTGAATCACTGCTCCCAGCCCATTTTTGTTAAAATTTAGTTTTATAATAACCATGGGTTGGAGATTTCTGAAACCATTATTTGAGCTATTTGGACAAAAATGTCATTTCAAGTTTGTACTTTTTCTGTTTACTTTAAGATAATTAAGACATTGCTTTAACTTTATACTTCATTGCATTTTGTTCATAAAGCCAGAGGTCAAAAATACGCTAATTATCATATATTGCTTAAAATAAGATAGACTTTAAACACTTAATGAAAACTGATGACTTTAAGAAAAAAATAAATGAGTTGTTTTATTTGTGGATATACTTTATACAGTAAATGGAAACTCTGAACACTGATCAATTGTCTAGTTTACCTCCAATATGTTTCTTTTTAATCTGAACTCCAATGCATTATTCCCTTTCCCTATAAGTTAACTTCACTTTTAATGTTTCATAGAGCGATGATTAAAATTGCACATTTTCACATCAAAATCTTCCCTAAAGTTCACTAGAAGGCTAAGTTGGGAGTTTGGAAACACTGTAGAAACCAAAATGTATCTATTTTGTAATAACAAAAACATATACTCATGAGAATAGTAAATTGAGTATGTTTTCCATGATGAATCTCACTTGTTTGTAATTATGGAATGTAGTACAATTAAAATCAATGTTGACTTGCAAAAACATTAGCATCCTCAGAAATGTATAAGTTCACTTAGAGTTTTTACATTTATTTCTCAATTGTAATTAAAAATCCACTAACATGAAGGTTAAGCTCCTATTTTTTTTTGTTATGTGTCATGTATTTTCTTCTATATATATTGATTTTTTAAATTTAAAATAAAAATTAAAAATCTAATGGACAGTAATTTTCACATAAATCCCAACATTTGAAAAATCCTTCCATTCAACAATTATTTAGTAAGCATCACATATTTGTCATGTATAGACATGAAAAAAATTCATTTCTGACCTCAGGGAGGCTATATTTTTATATGGAATATAGACAACAAAGCAAATATGTAATATGTACTTTGGATGATAGTTATCGCTATGGATAAAAAGTGAATAGTAAAAAGGGAAGGAAAGTGCCTAGAAATGAGCTAAAATTCAAACAAGATGTCAAGAAAAACATAATTAAAAAGGTGTCATATTATCATCAACTTTATAGAGTAGAGGATATAAGTAATGCAGCTAACCAAAGCAATATTTTTCTAGGCAAAAGGAAGAGCAAAGTACCTCAAGTGGTAGAATGTCGGGCATGATAACAAAATAATAAGGCATTGGCTAGAGTAGTATGGCTTGAGAAGGGGTAACGGGTCACCAAATAATGAAATAGAATCATATAGATAATTAGGGCCTTATGAAGAGATTTATAAACCATTTTAGTTTTATGAGTTTAGCTGAATACAATGGAAATACAATAGAGGATTCTAAGCAAAAAAGTTAAAAGATATGCTTTATTATTCTAAGGAATTACTCTAGTTGTTTTTATTAAGAATTGAGGAGCAGGCCAGGCACGGTGGCTCACGCCTGTAATCCCAGCACTTTGGGAGGCTGAGGTGATCGGATCATGAGGTCAGGAGATCAAGGCCATCCTGGCTAACATGGTGAAACTATGTTTCTACTAAAAATACAAAAAAAAAAATTACCCGGGCGTGGTGGCGGGCGTCTGTAGTCTCAGCTACTCGGGAGGCTGAGGCAGGAGAATGGCATGAACCCGGGAGGCAGAGCTTACAGTGAGCTGAGATTGTGCCACTGCACTCCAGCCTGGGCGACAGAGTGAGACTCCGTCCGAAAAAAATAAAAATAAAAATAAATAACATAAAAATAATTGAGGAGCAAAGAAAGAAAGAGGGATATCATTCTCAATAATTTTAATTATCCAAATAGTTGACTAATACTGGATTGGCTTATGATCCAATATTTGGAAGTAGAATATTGGAAATGTAGTTAGAAGAAAAGCAGGTTTCTTACTTTTTTTTTTTTTTTATTTTGGAAATATTTTTAAAGTGTGAACAAGATTTCTGTTTAAATGGGATATTTAATATGAGAAAAAGAGAGTAGTCAAGGATAAGTTAGAGATTCCAGGTTCAAAAAACAAAAACAACATAGTAGCCATATTTTACATGGATTAGAAGAAATAGAAAAGCAGGTTTGGAGGGAAGGGCCAATATTTTAATTAGAGCCATGTTTGTTACACATTCAAATGCAGGTATCAATTGCAGATGCTGTATATGTGAGTCTGGGATTCATGAAATTCGTCCAGGCTTAAGTGATAAATTTGCAGATTATCACTATGGAAGGTGGCATATTTGAAATAATAGGACAAGATTGCCAGCAATAATTGTGGTGAGAAAAGAGAAGAGGGCAAAACACTGAATCCTGGTCTCTCCAATATTTAGAGTTAAGAGAGGCAAGAATGAAACATTGTGTACACTGGTAATAAATGAAGGAGAGAAATACTGAAATGCTGTGTTAGAAGTTAAGAGAAGACAGTGATTCAAGGCGGAAGAAGTGACATTCAATGCTAAATGTTGCTAAAAGTTTGAGTAAGATTAGAACTGAAAAGAAGCTGTGCATTTTCCAACGTGAAGGTTTTTTCTTTTTTTTTTTTTTTTAATATAATCTTAACAAAAACCTTATGTGGTAGAATGACCATGGGGTGAACACTAGGTAGGCTTGAATTAAGAGACAACATAAAAGAAAATGCACAGTGAGTTTTAAAGTATTTCTAAATATGTTTACTCTAATGATGACAGAAGAATATAGCAGTGAGAGTGAGGAGTGTAAAGAAAGTGAAAATGTAAGATAATCAATGGATTGAAGGTGCTGATGGAGGTTAAAAATTGTCAGAGCTTGGGAACAGGTTGATCAGACCTAGAAAAATAAAACACAAGATTTAATAGATAAAAAGGTTTAAAGTGAGATTTAAGACACATAGGTGTCTTGAAATTGAGATTGCATCAAAATATACTTGTGTTAGTTCATTCTCACACTGCTATAGGACATACCTGAGACTGAGTAATTTATAAAGTAAAGAGGTTTAATTGGATTTACAGTTCTGCAGGGCTGGGGAGGCCTCAGAAAACTTACCATTTTGGGGGAAGGTAAAGTAATCATGTTCTTCTTCACATGGTGGCAGCAGGCAAAAGTGCAGAGTGAAGGTGGGGGAAAGCCCCTTATAAAACCATCAGCTCATGAGAACTCACTCACTATGATGAGGTCAGCATGGAGGTAACCTCCCAATGATTCAAGTACCTCTACCTAGTTCTTCCCACGACATGTGGGGATTATAAGAACTACAATTCCAGATGAGATTTGGGTGGAGACACAGCCAAACTATGTCATTCCACCCCAGCCCCTCCCAAATCTTATGTCTTCACATTTCAAAACACAATCATGCCCTTTCAACAGTCCCCCAAAGTCTCAACTAATTCTAGCATTAACTCAAAAGTCCATGTCCAAAGCCTCATCTGAGACAAGGCAAGTCCCTTCCACCTATAAGCCTGTGAAATCAAAATCCAGTTAGTTACTTCCTAGAAGCAATGGGGGTACATGTATTGGGTAAATACACCCATCCAAATGGGAGAAATTGAGCAAAACAAAAGGGCTACAGGATCCATGAAGTTTGAAATCCAGTGGGACAGTCATTAAACCTTAGAGTTCCAAAATGATCGCCTTTGACAACATGTCTCACATCCAGGTACCCTGATGCAAGTGATAGACTCCCATAGCCTTGGGCAACCTAGCCTCTGTGGTTTTGCATGGTGCAGTTCCTTTCCTGGCTGCTTTCATGGGCTGGCATTGGTGTCTGTGAGTTTTCCAGGTACAAGGTGCAAGCTGTTGGTGGATCTAACATTCTGGGGTCTGGAGGATAGTGGCCCTCTTCTTACAACTCTGCTAGGCAGTGCCCCAGTGGTCACTCTCTTTGGGGGTTCTGACTCCACATTTCCCTTCTGCACTGCCCTAGCAGAGGTTTTCCATGAGGTCTCTGCCCCTGCATCAAACTTCTGCTTGAACATCCAGACATTTCCGTTCATCCTCTGAAATCTAGGTGGAGGGCCTCAAACCTCAATTCATGACTTTTGTATACCAGCAGGCTCAACACCACATGGAAGCTGCCAAGGCTTGTGGCTTGCAGCCTCTGAAGCAACAGCATGAGCTGTACCTTGGCCCCTTTTAGCCATGAGTGGAGTGACTGGGACTTAGGGCACCGAATCCCAAGGCTGCACACAGTAGAAGGAGCCTGGGCCCGGTCCACGAAACCATTTTTCCCTCCAAGGCCTCTAGGTCTGTGATGGAAGGGGCTGCCGCCAAGGCCTCTAACATGCCCAGGAGACATTTTCCCCATTGACTTGGTGATTAACATCTGCCTTCTCATTACTTATACAAATTTCTGCAGCCACCTTGAATGTCTTCCCAGAAAATGAGTTTTTCTATTCTATCACATCAGGCTGCAAATTTTCCAAACTTTTAGGCTTTGCTTCCTCTTGAATGCTTTGCTGCTTAGAAATTTCTTCTGCCGGATACCCTAAATCATCTCTCTCAAGTTCAAAGTTCCACAAACATCTAGGACAGGGGAAAAATGTCACCAGTCTCTTTGCTAATGCATAGCAGGAGTCACCTTTGCTCCAGTTCCCAACAAGTTCCTCATCTCCATCTGAGACCACCTTAGCCTGGACTTTATTGTCCATATTACTATTAGCACTTTGGTTAAAGACATTCAACAAGTCTCCAGGCAGTCCCAAACTTTCTGACATCTTCCTGTCTTCTGAGCCCTCCAAGTCTTTAGGAAGTTCCAAACTGTCTCGTGTGTTCCTGTCTTCTGAACCCTCCAAGTCTTTAGGAAGTTCCAAACTTTCCAGCATTTTTCTATCTTCTTCTGAGCCCTCCAAACTGTTCCAAACTCTGCCTGTTACCCAGTTCCAAAGTTGCTTTCACATTTTTGGGTATCTTTATAGCAGCACCC
Organism: Homo sapiens; assembly: GCF_000001405.40. NCBI lineage: Eukaryota > Metazoa > Chordata > Mammalia > Primates > Hominidae > Homo > Homo sapiens. The sequence goes on from NC_000004.12 coordinate 132,382,249, forward strand.
CACTCTCTGTGGTACCAATTTACTGTATTAGTCCATTCTCACACTGCTATAAGGACATATCCAAGATGGGGTAATTTATATAGGAAAGAGGTTTATTTGACTCACATTTGTGCAGGGCTGGGGAAGCCTCAGGAAACTTAGAGTCATGGTGGAAGGGGAAGCAAACACACTTTTTGTCACAGTGCAGTAGAAATAGGGAAGTGCAGAGCGAAGGGGGGACAAGCCTTTTATAAAACCATCGGATCTCATGAGATATCACTCACTATCACAAGAGCAGCATGGTGGTAATCACCCCCATGATTCAGTTACCTCCACCTGGTCCCTCCCACAACACATTGGGATTATGGGAACTACAATTCCAGATGAAATTAAGGTGGGTACACAGCCAAATCATATCAGTAGTTATTATAAATAATTCATTAAGCTTTGCCTTCAGACTGACACATTTTGCAGCATATAGGTCTTAGAAGAGGGTATTTCTGATAATATCCAGTAAAGACGATGAGAGAGACTGCTACTTACAAATATCCCTCTTTTCTCTGTCACAGATGCATTACTAGATAATATATTCCAACTTCCACATATGTCACTGTGGTCACTATGTGACTTTATAGTGCTCAATAAAACACTGGTGAAAGTGATGTGCTTATTTTCAAGATGTGCTCCTAACTTCTCTCTTCCCATTTTCTCTTTTTCTTTCTTTTAATATGCGAGGTGGATGAACAGTCTAGTGAAGCGCTATTAGGTCCTAAAAATGTTAGACTAACTATATGGAAGAAACCTGGGTATCCGAATACTTGCATGAAGAAAAGACACTTCCCAAGTGTCATGCAGCTGCTAGTGGTGCACGGTGGCCGCTGCTAGTTGGTTGCCACACTTCCGTAGGTCTGGCCAGTAAGGAGACGATAAACTAAAGTGGATTTAGAAAGTATATTACTGGCCGGGAGTGGTGGCTCACACCTGTAATCCCAGCACTTTGGGAGGCTGAGGTGGGCGGATCACCTGAGGCCAGGAGTTTGCAACCAGCCTAACCAAAATGACAAAATTCTGTCTACTAAAAATACAAAAATTAGCCAGGGATGATGGCGGATGCCTGTAATCCCAGCTACTCAGGGGGCTGAGGTGGAGGTTGCAGTGAGTCAAGATCACACTACTGCACTCCAGCCTGGGCGACAGAGCAAGAGTCCATCTCAATAAATAAATAAAAGAAAATGTATTACCTATGGTACAGAAAATAGCATGAGTGCTATATTCTCATGAGTTTCTTTGCTCTCCAAGTCCCAAAAGGGTAATGTGGAGGCAAAGCATGCCCAGAAGGAAAACCCAGGAAGATGCTGTGCACACTGGGTCTGCATCATAGCTGAGAAACATTGAGTTTAGGAAACGCCCAATCTTACAAGGAAGCTGATAACAAATTGGTCCATTCTCTGCTCTGGAAAGAGGAATTATCTTTATTATCTTATTAGGCTTCACATTTGCCCTGTGACTCAGAGAGAGAGAGACAATTGCTAGCTTTTAAACCTTTTGCTATATAAACATCTTTGGAATGATAATCCAAAATAAAGCTGTCACAAGACATTTTGAAATACTAGGTGAATTGCTTTACTACACCAGACATCAAACTACTGATTCACATTAAAGAATGTTGTAAGAAATAAACTGCTTTTTTTTTACTGTTATGTCAGTTTGTATTGTTAGTCAAAATTGTTAGTCTGTGATGACTAACACAGTTATTATAAGAATCATTTGTTCAAATTGAAAGCAAAGTGAGATTAAAATTAAAATATGACAGAACAGAAAATGAGCTGAGAGGGAAAGAAACTGAGAAGATCTTATTTGCTCAAGTATAGAATTTTCTGTAGTGAAATATCTTGGTGGGAGGCTTGGGGCAGAAAGCAATGTAAAGTTCTTTACCATTTCCTGTCATATTGAAGGGGAGATTAGAAAAATAGCTAGCAATGATACCTCTCAATTTATGGCAATGCAGAAATTAATCTAGAAAGAAATTGAGGACCCTTTCCCCTACCTTTATGTTCCTTTCAAAAATATATTGCAGGTTCCCTTCTGATTCAGCATTGCTAAAGTAGATGAACACCTACCTATGCATTTACCAAATAACAAAAAAGAGAGTGTTTAGTAAACAATACCAGGGTCAAGTGAGTTGAATGTTGGCCCTCAAAAAGATAGTCCACACCTTAATCCCTGAAATCTGTGAATGTCACTGTATTTGGAAAAAGAGTCTTTGCAGATATAATTAGTTACGTCTTAAATGAAGAGATTATCATAGATTATCCAGGTGGGCCTTAAATCCAATAAGTTTCCTTCTAACAGACACACACAAGACAGAACACAGGGATGCAATATGAGCATAATGGCAAAGATTGGAGTAATGTAACCATAAGAGAAGGAATGCTCATAGCCATTGGAAGCTGGAAGAAATGAAGAACAAATTTTTCCTAGACCTCTGGAGAAAACATGCCCCCACTGACACCTTGATTTCAGACTTCTGACCTCCAGAACTACGAGAATAGATTTCTGTGTTTTAAGCAACTAAGTTTGTAATAATTTGCTATGAAAGCCCTAGGAAACTAACACACCGTATCAAAGGCAGAGTTTATTTACACTGACCTCAGGAATTTTTAGAGTCAGTGCTCTGACTAAGGTAACACTGTCTGTAGAGCCCAGAGCATAGACAAGGAGTGGGTGTGGCTTTGTGAAATCAGTAGGTTTTGTATGGAGAGGAATGGAAACATTTAAAATATGACATTTTCACCATTAACAGCATCTCATCCTTACTGTTTGCTCAATTTTCTGTTCAACAAATTGATTTCATTCAAAAAGCATGTATTGAACTCCTGCTTATGGTTCTAATGATGCTAGTGGTATTACTGCATCAAGAACAGCATAAAACAACAAATAGCTACCTTCTATATATATTGAAAGGAATGAATTTAAGTAAAATGACATTACAAATAAATTAAGTGTATGAAGTTATTCAAAGATGATATAACACCTTAGAGAAAAGCTACATTTGCATTTTGGGAGGACAAATAACGAATCAAATATCTACAAGGATGTGGGGAGATTATAAGGTACCTAATGAGGAGAAGAGTATTGGGCGTATAAGAGAAAAGGTGCTATTTAGCATACTATTGACAACTATAGTAAATACTGTCCAGGTTGGAGATATGCCAAGTGAAATTTCCTACAATTGTGCAGCTCTTATGTAATATGTGGAATCATAAACCATTTATATCAATTGTAAGGTAGTATTTTTTGATTATCTACATTTTTCTGAAGCACCATATATTATGAGGTTCTTAGAGGAGGAAATTACAAAGTAAGCATAGGAGTCCTACATTATGAATGCCTCGAAGATCTTGTAACTACTTATGGAGATAAAAATACTAAGACAAACTGTAGTCAGAATTCTGAGATGCATACCCACACCTCTCCATATACAGCTACAAACATCAAAATACATGTGCTAATTATAGATGCTATTGATGTTCAGAGGCTAAAAGAAACTAAGGTAGACTATACTTTTCTGGAGTGACTGTAGGTAGCAAATGGGATCTGAGTTAGACTTTAGACATTTCAAAGGCATCGAATTCATGAAGCTGACTAGGCACATGTACCATTGTCCTTCCTTCTCTCAAGAGTTCTCATTAAACTGTTAGAAATTAGAGGAAAATTCCTGCCAGGTGTGGTGGCTCAAGCCTGTAATCCCAGCACTTTGGGAGGCTGAGGCAGGCGGATCACCAGAGGTCAAGAGTTCAAGATCAGTATGACCAACATGGAAAAACCCCATCCCTACTAAAAATACAATATTAGCCGGGCATGGTGGCCCATGCCTGTAATCCCAGCTACTCGGGAGGCTGAGGCAGGAGAATCACTTGAACCCAGGAGGTGGAAGTTGCGGTGAGCCGAGATTGCACTATTGCACTCCAGCCTGGGAGACAAGAGCGAAACTCTGTCTCAAAAAGAAAAAAAAAAAAAGAAATTAGGGGGAAATTGTAATACAGAGAATGAGAAGAAGTAATCCAAAGACACAGAACCAGAAAAGAGAAAGTTAACTGATGAAACTGAGTGAAAGTAAAAGTCTTAAGTGAAAGCTAGCTGCTATTAAGGGGAAGACTGAGCTCACAGACACTGTTACCCCATCTCTTCATTAACTCACTCACTCTAAAGTGAGACCTGCTAGTTGACAAGTTGAACAATATTTGGAGTAAGTCTTTGTATTTTCTAATTTTAAATAAAAATGAGGACTCAAGAGTCACAAGAGAGTTCTCATTATTACTACATAGGAAAAACAGTATAAACTAGGAAAATACCCCATTAGGATAGAGATGTAATTCAGAAGAAAATCTTTAAAAATAACAGCAAAATAAACAAACAAGGCCAAGAAAAGGATAAATCAGAGAATAAATAGTGTTTTAGTATTAAAATATTAATAGTTAAATAAATAATCTACTAGAAAGATAGAAACAGGATAATGAAGAAATGTCTTCAAATATTGAATACAAAGAGAAGTTTAAAAAAGAAAGACTACAAATCAGAGGGTCAACATCACAGTCTGAAAGAAAACAAATAAAATAGGGAGACTTATCTACTTTTGACCGTATATTCAGGATCCTCCCCCACTTCTGCCACCAGTGGAACTGGGGGATAAAACAGCAAAGATTGAAGACATATTGGAGAAAACAGTGGAAACAACTCAGGACAGTGATGAAGGGGAGTCTCATGAAATCATCTGTGTTGCAAATCTAGAGAGGTATGACGTACCACAGTGGAGTAACTGGATGGATGGAATTCACCTAGAAGGAGATCTTCAGGGAAAAACAAAACAAACAAACAAAAAAAACCAAAAAAACTCTCGAACTATTACACTAGGTAATATATATACACACAAATATATATTTTTTCTTTTTCTATATTTTCTGTTTTCATTCTATGTATTTCAAATTTACAAATAAAAATTGTAAATATTTGTTGTGTCAGCATAATATTTTCAGATATATATATACACATTGTGGAATGACTAAATCAAGCTAATTAACTTATCCATTCTCTTGCATTTTTTTTGGTTTTTAAATGAAAACATTTAAATTCTACTCTCAGCAATTTTCAAGCATATAATACATTGCTATTAACTATGTTAATATGTTGTATATTAGATCTCCTGAACTTACTCCTTTTGTCTGACTGAAATTTTGTATCTTTTGATCAATATCTCTTCAAGCCCCCACCTTTAGCATTCTACTCTTTGCTTCTATGAGATCAATTTTTTTAGTTGTAAAAAATGTAAGTGAGATCATGCAGTGTTTGTCTTTCTGTGGCTGGCTTCAAGTTCATCCATATTGTCGTCACAAATGATAGCATTTCCTTTTTTTAGAGGCCGAATGGTATTGAATTGTGTATATACAGTCATGTGCCACATAATGACATTTTGTTCTACAGTGAACTGCATACATTATCACTGTTCCATAGATTATAAAGGAAGTGAAAAATTCCTATCACTTGGTAACGTAGTAGCTGTTCTAATGTTTTAGTGCAATACATTACACACGTGTTTGTGTGTGGTAATGTTGGTATAAACAAACCTACCGCGTTGCCAGTTGTATAAATGTATATCATAGGCCATTATGTATAGTACACAAGACTTGAAATGATAATAAATGACAGTTAGTGGTTTATGTATTTACTACAGTAAATTTTTATCATTATTTTAGAGTGTTTCCTTCTACTTATCAGAAAAAGAAAGTTAACTATAAAGTAGCCTCAGGCAGGTCCTTAAAGAGGAATTCCAAAAGAAGGCACTGTTTCCATATGAGGTGACAGCTCCTTGCTTGCTTGTTCCCCTGAAGACATTCCAGTAGGACAAGATGTGGAGGTGGAAGAAAGTGATAATGGGTATCCTGACCCTGCCTGTGTAGGCCTAGGATAATGTGTGTGTTTGTGTCTTAATTTTTAACAAAACATTTAAAAAGTAAAAGAAAAAAAATTAAAAATTGTTAGAGAAAAAACTCATAGAATAAAGGTTTGAGAAAATATCTTGTGTAGCCATACAATATGCTTGTATTTTAAGCTAAGAGTTACAAAATAGTGAAAACGTTTGAAAATTTAAAAAAAATATAAAGTAAAAAAGTTATAGTAACCTAAGGTTAATTTATTAGAGAAGTAAAAAATATTTTAAAAACAATTTTAATTTAACCTAAGTGTACATCGTTTACAAAGTCTACAGTAGTGTACAGTAATGTCCTAAGCCCTCACATTCACTCACCAGTCACTCATTAACTTGCTCAGAACAAGTTCCAGTCCTGCAGTCTTCATTCATGGTAAGTGCCCTATACAGGTGTACCACTTTTTATCTTTTATATCATATTTTCACTGAGATTTTTCTATGTTTTGATATGTTTAGGTACACAAATACTTATCATCGTGCTACAACTGCCTACACAAATATGCTGTACAGATTTGTACCCTAGGGGAAATAGGTTATAACATATAGTCTAGGTTGTAGTAGGCTATACCACAAAAGTTTGTGTCAGTAAACTCTATGATGTTTGCACACCATCAAAATTGCTTATCAACACATTTCTTGAGTGTATCTCTGTGTTAAGGGACACAGGACTGTATGCCACATTATCTTTATTCAATCATCTATTAATGGTGATATGGCTTGGCTGTGTCCCCACCAAAATCTCATCTTGAATTGTAGCTCCCATAACATCATGTGTTGTGAGAGGGACCCGGTGGGAGGTAATTGAATAATGGGGGCAGATTTTTCCTGTGCTGTTCTTGTGATAGTGAATAAATTTCACGAGATCTGATGATTTTATAAAAAGCAGTTCTCCTACACATGCTCTCTTGCCTGCTACCATGTAAGACATGCCTTTGCTCTTCCTTCACCTTCCACCATAATTGTGAGGCCTCCCCAGTTATGTGGAGCTGTGAGTCCATTAAACCTTGTTTTCTTTATAAATTACCTGGTCTCAGGTATTTCTTCACAACAGTATGAAAATGGACTAATACAGTAAATTGGTAACAGTAGAGTGCGGTACTGCTATTAAGATACCCCAAAATGTGGAAGCAACTTTGGAACTCAGTAACAGTCAGAGGTTGGAACAGTTTGGAGGGCTCATAAAAAGACAGAAAGATATAGGAAAGTTTGGAACTTCCTAGAGACTTGTTGAATGGTTTTGACCAAAAAGTCCAGCCTGAGGTGGTCTCAGATGGAGATGAGAAACGTATTGGGAACTGAAGCAAAGGTGATTCTTCCTATGCTTTAGCAAAGAGACTGGTGGCATTTTTTCCCTGCTGTAGAGATCTGTGGAACTTTGAACTTGAGAGAGATAATTTAGAGTATCTGGCAGATGAAATTTCTAAGCAGAAAAGCATTTAAGAAGTGACTTGGGTGTTGTTAAAGTCGTTCAGTTTTATGTATCCACAAAGATATAATTTGGAATTGGAACTTAACGTTTAAAAAGAAAGCAGAGCATAACACTACAAAAAATTTGCAGCCTGATGATGCAATAGAAAAGAAAAACCAATTTTCTGAGGAGAAATTCAAGCTGGCTGCAGAAATTTGCATAAGTAACAAGGAGGCCATTGTCAATCACCTAGACAAAGGGGAAAATGTCTCTAGGGCATGTCAGAGGTTTTCATGGCATCCCCTCCCATCACAAGCTGGAAGGTGCAGGAGGAAAAAGTGGTTTGCTGGGAGGAAGCCCAGGGCCTTACTGCTTTGTGCAGTCTCGGAACTTGGTGCTCTGCATCCAGGCTTTGGCTAATAGGGGCCAATGTGCAGCTCGGGTAGTTGTTTCCGAGGGTGCAAGTTCCAAGCCTTAGTAGTTTACACATGGTATTGGGCCTGCGGGTACACAGAAGTCAAGAATTGAGGTTTAGGAACCTCTGCCTAGATTTCAGAGGATGTATGAAAATGCCTGGATGCCCAGGCAGAGGTATGCTGCAGGGGTGGTGGCCTCATAAAGAACCTCTGCTAGGGTAGTGCAAAAGAGAAAACGTTATTTAATTCGTAAGTTAGTTTCAACAGTTTTTGGGTGGAAATTTTAGGGTTTTCTATATACAAATAATGTTTTCTATAAATGAAGACAATTTTGCTTTTTTCTGATTTGACTGGCCATTAATTTTTTCTTGCCAAATTGGTCAGGCTAGAACATCCAGTATATGTTGAACAGAATTGGCAAGAGTGTATTTTTGTCTTATTTCTTTTTTTTTTTTTTTTGAGACGGAGTCTTGCTCTGTCACCCAGGGTGGAGTGCAGTGGCACAATCTCGGCTCACTGCAAGCTCTGCCTCCCAGGTTCACGCCATTCTCCTGCCTCAGCCTCCCGAGTAGCTGGGACTACAGGTGCCCGCCACCATGCCCGGCTAGTTTTTTGTATTTTTAGTAGAGACGGGGTTTCACCGTGTTAGCCAGGATGGTCTCGATCTCCTGACCTTGTGATCTGCTCATTTCCGCCTCCCAAAGTGCTGGGATTACAGGCGTAAGCCACTGTGCCCGGCCTGTCTTATTTCTTATCTTAGAGGAAGAGCTTTCAACTTTTCATTTTTGAATATGTAAGAAAATAAAGATCAGGTCAGAAATAAATGAAAGAAAGACTAAGAAAAAATAAGAAAGATTAACAAACTAACAGTTGTTTGGGAAGATAAAATTAACAAAACTTTACCTAGACTAAGGGAATAAAGAAAGAAGACTCTAATAAAAGATGAGGCCAGGCACAGGGAAGAGGCCGGGTGCAGAAGCTCATGGCTGTAATCCCAGAACTTTGAGGGGCCAGCATGGGTGGGTCGCTTGAGTTCAGGAGTTCAAGACCAGCTTGGGCAACGTGGTGAAACCCCGTGTTGACAAAAAGTACAAAAATATTAGCTGGGCATGGTGGTGCATGCCTGTAGTCCTAGCTACTTTGGAAGCTGAGATTGGAGTGTCACCTGAGGCTGGTGGGTTGAGGCTGCAGTGGCTGTGATAGTACCACTGTACTCCAGCCTGGGTGACAGAATGAGACCCTTTCTAAAAAAAAGAAAAAAAAATAGACAGGAAGAAAAAAACAATGCAACTGATGGCACAAAAGTACGATGGATCATAAGAGAGTACTATAAACAATTATATGCCAACAAAGTGAATAACTGGAGAGAAATAAATTCTTAGAAGTACACAACCCACCAAGACTGACTCATGATAAAATAAAAAATCTGAACAGACTATTAATTAGTAAGGAGATTGAATCAGTAACAAAGCATTTCACATCAAAGAAAGGCCCATGGACTGATGGCTTCACAGCTGAATTCCACCAAACATTTAAAGAAAAACTAATATCAGTCCTTCTCAGAGTCTTCCAGATAATTGAAGAGAAGAGAATACTTCTAATCATTTTATGATGCCAGCATTATTCTGATACCAAAGCCAGATAAGGACACTGCAAAAAAAATAAAACTATGGGCTGCCGTCTTCAATAAATATAGATGCAAAAATCCTCAACAAAACACTAGCCAACTGAATTCAACTGCACATAAAAAAAATATCATTCACCATGGACATTTGGGATATATCCTTGGCACCCAAGATGATTCAACATGCACAATCAATAAATGTGATATACCACATTAATAGAATGAGTGACAAAAATGTCATATCAACAGATGCAGAAAATGCATTTTACAAAATTCAATATTCTTTCATGAGAAAAACTCTCAGCACATTAGGTGTAGAAGAAATTTATCTCAGGCCAATAAAGACCATATATGACAAGCCTATAGCTAACATCATACCCAACAGTAAAAAGTACATTTCTAAAGTTTTCAAATTACTTTTAACTCTTAGAATTATTTGAAAAATAAGTCACAAAAGCACTAACTAATGTTACAAAGAGAATAAATTATTTTTATTACTGGGAATATGAAAGATGAAATCTGTAAAGTTGTGAATTGAAATTTGGGAGGAGAGATGGATGAAAGGTAAGGATGACTAATCTCTTTAATTTACAAAATGGGAGTAGAAATGCTGTTGTAGGTGATGGCATATCAACTAGAAATATAAATGTACTGTTTTTAGTGGACCCTTGGAAGAAGAAACAATAGAAATTATAACTACACTGGAAATGGTGGGATAAGATGAAAAAGATATGTCAATTATGTCCATATCTATCATAGGAAGAGGTCAAGACAATATATCTCAAACAAGAACGAAAGTGGATGTTGGGAAAAATTAGTGGTGCCCTTCACAATCTGCCCTCCTATCACTTAGTGTCTAAATGCACTCTCCTCAGTGTAAATACACTATACTTACCCTTCAACAAGGGAAAGTCATAAAAGTCTCACCTATTCCAAGTTCAAGATTTCTGGCTTAGGTCATCATTTGCAAAGTTTTTACTAAATATTTTACTACAGTTCACTACCTGGTTAATTTCAATTCAGGTTCTTTACTGAAAACAGCATCTAGAAAAACTAGATTTCTAAGTTCTATGCTTAGCCTTGCGTGAAGTTTAAATCAGTGGACTTTATAATTTGAAAATAATGCCTCACTTTGTCTTTCTGTATTTGAAGTTTTGAGATATGTATTTTGATTATTTTTTGCAAATTTTCACAGTAAACTCAAAAATTAAACTAGTATGCAAATCTCTGAAAACCCACAATTCATGGTTTTTTTAAAGCAATAGACTACATTGAAATCATTCAATGTGCTAGTGCTCCAATCAGTTTTTGGATCTTTCATTTCAATAAATTTTAGATTTGCATAGGGTCCAATGGCTAGATGAATAAGGGAAGGATACATAATGGAGGAAAGTTAGCTATCTCTTTTACAGAAGAAGACCATCGAAGACTTAAAAACAGAAATAATTAAATTGGTCTCAAGAGGGGTAGTTAAGGAAAGGATGAATTTTGTAGGGAAATCTTTGTTTTTATAATTAAAATGTTCTGGGGAACTTGATTTAAAATAATGTTGTATGTAGTATTTATGTTTTAGAAATTAAACTAGAAAACAATATATAGCATTAAGAAAAGCAAGGAAAAAATAGAAATTATCCCCAATATTAAAGGAAGATGAGCAAATGTGTAGAACCAAAGAATAAACATGTATGTTTGATAATATATAATTTTGTAAAGTTTTTGACATAAAAATTTACATTGGCAGCTTTGGACAGCATTTATATAGAGAGAAGAAGAGTTCCACAGGTTAATAAAATGAAAGTGTTTCCTTCAACACCTGTAGTGTGGTTATTGAACATTTTAAATCTTGAAAAAGTATAAGAGAAATAAAAATATTAAGCAAAATAAATTATACTTTAGCTTTTCTATTTTGAAGTTCTTGTCCTAGTCACAAAGTAAAATTGGCAGTGGGAGACAGGCTTAGAAATGTGTGTTTATGTGAGAGCACATGTTTAAGACCATGTCAGGGGTGTTTGTGTGTATGTGTCTGTGTGATTGCAGAAAGAGAGGGCAAGGAAACTCTTTTAAATAATATAACTTCATGTTAGTTTTTAATTTTTTTAATAAGTTATTGTTAACTAATCGTCTCATTTCTGTTAGACACAATTTCAAGTACTTACATAGAAATATAGAATTTTAAAATAAAATGACACACTAGACAAAATAGATGTGTTTTGGCTTTATTTGTATTTGTCAGTTCTAATACCACATGACATTCACAGAAAGTTATAAAAGATAGAGCTGATAGAGCCTGCAGTCTATATGTATTATATATTCCCACATCCTTGATTTATAAATAGGAAAACTGCATCTTAAATTATATAGCTTATTCAAGATCATTGGACTAGTTATTGATGAATCTGTAAATAATACTCCACAAGTCTAAGTATTAATGAGAATTATGAGAATCAGGTGATGGAATTTCAATCATATATGGATAGAAATATCAACTGTAAGACACCCACTGATGCAGTGAAAATGACTTTTAAAAAGTTATTTTTAAAAAGATGAATGAATATATTTTTCAAAATAGATAGTTCAAAAAATATTGTATTCTCACCCCAACATATATTTTTATATTTTACAACTACTTTAAATGTGTAAACCATATTTAATATCTGTTTTTATTTATGGCTGAGTTTGAAATATTCAACATTGTGGAAATTACATTGAACTAAAGCATTTCCTTGAGACCACAGTTTTAACAATATTAGACATGTAAATATGTAATATAAGGATATTATTTTATTTATATTTTAAAGTCAGGACATTGATAGTAAGTAGGTACTGTTTCTTAAAATTAGCCCCAAAAGTATGTAATGTACAATGAATATAATAGTCACAAATACCTTTAAAATCATACACCTAGACACGTTTAAACTTTATTCATAGTGTTACAATGATTTATCATTTTTTTCTATAAAATGTTTTCTATTTTGAAGATGTCTCTGGAAAAGTATCACTCATATGTCCTGTAATGATTGAAGAGAATGTGTTCCAAGATATTAGTGATATTTAGTTAATTTAGTCATTAGAGAGATTCAATACATTTTCAAGAGGACCAGGCATGATCATTTATGTTTCTTTGTTAAACATTAAGATAATAACCACTAGTTCTTCCTTCTCTTAAAATGAATGCATCATCATTATGCAGCTTCTCTGTTGTCTCCTGATTATAACACTGGCCATGCACCAAAAGAGAACTCTGCACTGGAATCAACGATAAAGGCCAAGTGCACAGAGCAACATTTCTGCTTATGAAACTATTGCTGCTCTGCCACCCAGCAAAAACTTCATGAAATTCTATGTTAGCTGCTTCACTTCTTTTTGATATCTGAGAAGCCATTATTCCTTTAAGCCTATTATAAATAAGTGGGTTAAAGAAAAAAATATGAAACGTTAGTGGAGTGAAAGGAAAAGTTTATTCCCCACTGTGGCATATAATCACTGCACATGGCCTTCTGGATGTGGAAGGAATTGTTATTAAATGCAAGAAAATGTGGAAATGTTACAAGCTGGAATGTCTTCTTTTTAGCAAAGCTTAATATTTTCACTGTTAGTTTATTTTTCAGGAATAAGAAGTGTGTCCGATTTATTTCTTATTAGTATAAAAGATACACTAGGCAAGGTAGCAGAAAATGTGAAATGAAATTTGGTTACATAGATTTTTAAATACATACATTTAAAATATCAGTTTGTTCTTATTATCTGCTTCAAGGACTGAACGTAACTCTTCACTTCTGGCAGCATGAGAAATCATAGTTTTTGAAAACAGTAGGCAAAAATATTTTGACATTTTGGGATATGTTAAATATTTTATGAACCATGTGGGGCCAGTTAAATTTATTGCATTAGCTAACTCTAAGCACATCAACTTTTTCAGTGGAAATAAACTAGTCTGAAAAGAAAACGAAAAGAATATTTAAAGACATAATAAAAGAATATATACAGTGACTGTGACATTTAGAGCATTTACTTACCCTCACAAGATTTAGTATTGGTAAGAATAGCCCAGAAATTCCTATTTTGGACTCAGCTGAATGTAACTGATAGAAAAGGAAATGTTTTACTGCTCCCTGGTGAGGAAAACACTTGATGGTGGTAATAAATCAATAATGAACAGCATCATACTTTCTACACCCTACAAATGCCAGGCTTCATACTAACAGAGTCTAGATAAGACATATCTGCATTCCATGAAGAAGTCAAATTATAAAAACTGTAAATTAAAAATATCACTCTCTATTGCTCTTAAAAGACAATTTCTCAGCGAATCAGTGATAATAGTCAAGCCTGTATGAAAATTACCTAACAAAACCCATATTTATTGTAATATTGCCTCTGTACTTATAAAATAATTCAATAAATTGTAATTACTTCATGCCCAAAGCTAACTAGTAATTTAAGTATATAAATAAAAGCAAGTATCCATAATATATTGACGTTTTTGCACAATCTTATCAGCTTTTGTTATTAAAAAGTATGTTACTATATAAATTGACAAAATGACAGGAAGTGAATTGAATTAAGATACTGCAAGTTTTGTGAAAATAAGACCTTTGATGGGTACACACATCATGATTTGTACTTTAACCGAATCTTCACTCAGCTCAGATTTTAAACCCTACTAGTTAGAAAAGAAAAATGAATTATCCCATATCAATTTATTTAATTTTTCTTTTCTAAAAGCATGTTTTAGACAATCAATGTCCTTACATAGATGTTTATTGAAAAATAAGAAATGCAAATGTAGGAATGGCCATATAGATGTCTCCGTCAAAACAGAGTTCAAAGAAAAAAATAACATGAGAAAGTTGGGCCATTTTCTCTACCTTTGTTTATTTTCTACATGAAAGTGCTTGCATACTCAATCGCCACTATAAATTGATCTGAGTATGTTTTTATTGCTTCAACATTATCCTAAATTTAGGTAAAAAAAATTTAATGTGGCAAATTGGTAGACTATATTAAAAGAATTGATAAGTACTTTGGAATAAATAAGAGTAATGGCATGGAAATATGAACACATAATTAACTTAAGAATGTGTACTAGTAGGTTAAAAAATCATTCCCTAAATGCCTGTGGGAAGGTTTGGTATTTAATGGTGCTGAAAGGAAGTAGCATGATATCTATAATTCTGCAAACTGCAGCTGTTCTACAAAAATAAGCATAAATTGCCTTCTCTATTGACATTGCAAGAGAGGAACTTGACAGAGAGCAGACGCAAAGATCTCACAGCAAAAAGACTAGACATGAGCAGTTGTACATTGTAAACAGGGAGAAAATATATTTATAAGTTAATAAATAAGCAAGAAGGCAGTGTTTTATAGTGCCCATTGGTAAGTAAAACCTCTTTAGCAATATGAGTTAAAGAAGGCATTGAATTTAAAGAGAACTTTTAGCAAGCACATAAGCAAAATTGAGCTTTCCCTCAATACGTAATAAAAGTCCTAATTCAAATTGTTGACAGGGCCAGTTGCCATTGGTATAAAGTGAACACAGCTTTATTAACACAGAATACTGCAGATCTGGATGGTTTAAGTAAAACATAGTTCCTTACTGAAGCAGACATAAATTTTTCTTGGGGACTGTATATTTAGTCATAGCTTGCAATGCATTTCTGCTTACTTTAAGGAAGAAGAATTGGAAGTTTATTTCACAATCTTAAAGGTTCTATCATCTGTTCATCTTTCTATTAATCTGTCAACATAATTACTACCTATCTACACATACATACATAATTTTGTTTTAATAATAGTTACTGTGGCATTCTCAATTCTTTTGTCGACTTCATATCTTTCTGAGTTGAAGAATTATTTTGGATATGTTTCCATATAAATCATTATTACAGTTATGACTGATATATTAACAATAAACATGAATGTACTGAAATCTTTATTTCTGAAAAAAATGGGAATGTACACTATAGGTTTATTTTTATTGTATGTATCACAATAAATATTTTAAAAAATACATTAAAACTTTACAAACAAAAACATTAATATTATATTGGTTGGTGGGAATCTGGACAATTTTAGTACAATAGTTTTCTATGGTGGTTTGTCCATATTTTTCAGGTTTTCTGCAATAAATATATTTTATTATTTTGTTAAATTAAAAAAATAAATATTGTGGTACTTAGAATAATATTGGTAAAATCTATAAAAGCATGCTGCATAAGCAGGCTTTATTTGTTCTTTATTCCAGTTGAGATAACAGGGATAAGGTTTTTTAAATAATATGTGACTCAAATTATTTCAATTTTTAATTGTAACATTTTATATTATAATTGCATAACATACTTATTAGAATTTATCCATGTATTTAAGGACATGGCACAACTTTTTTTTTTTTTTTTGAGAGCCCAGCCTGGAGTGTAGTGGCATGATCTCGGCTCCTTGCAAGCTCCACCTCCTGGGTTCATGCCATTCTCCTGCCTCAGCCTCCTGAGTAGCTGGGACTACAGGCGCCTGCCACAATGCCTGGCTAAACTTTTGTATTTTTAGTAGAGACGGGGTTTCACCGTGTTAGCCAACATGGTCTCGATCTCCTGACCTCGTGATCCGCCCGCCTTAGCCTCTGAAACTGCTGGGATTACAGCCGTGAGCCACTGCGCCAGGCCGATACAACTTCTTTTTAAAATGTTTTGTTTATTGTGACTGGCATCTCTCTCTGTCTTTACATATATGTTTAATCTTTGGCAAGAGTATCTAAATCAATCACATCTGTATGGGTAACTACAGTGATCAGTTATTTTCTATTTAAAATAACTTTTTTTTATTTCAATATGTTTTTGGGGAACAGGTGGGGTTTGATCACATGAATAAGTTCTTTAGTGGTGATTTCTGAGATTTTGGTGCATTCATCACTCAAGAAGTGTAGGCTGTACCCAATGTGTAGGCTTTTATCTATCACCCATCTCCCACTCTTTCCCGAGTCCCCAAAATCCATTGTATCATTCTTATGCCTTTCCTCCTTATAGCTTAGCTCCCACATATGAGTGAGAACATATGATGTTAGGTTTTCCATTCCTGAGTTACTACACTTAGAATAATAGTTCCCCATTCCACCCAAGTTGCCATGAATGCCAATTTTTTGTTTCTATTTATGGCTGAGTAGTAGTTTACAGCATATATATATATATTATACCAGATAAAGAAAATCTGGTATATATATATTATATATATATGTATATTATAGATATATGTATTTTATATATATCTATAATATACATATATATATAATATATATATACCAGATTTTCTTTATCCATTCATTTGTTAATGGGCATTTGGGCTGGTTCCATATTTTTGCAATTGCAAATTGTGCTGCTATAAACATATGTGTGCAAGTGTCTTTATCATATAATGATTTCTTTTCCCCTGGGCAGATATCTAGTAGTAGGATTGCTGATCAAATGGTAGACCTACTTTTAGTTCTTTAAGGAATCTTCACACTGTTTTCCACAGGGGTTGTACCAGTTTACATTCCCACCAGCAGTGTAAAAGTGTTCCTTTTTCACCACATCCATGTCAATGTCTATTATTTTTGATTTTTTTTATTATGGCCATTCTTGCAGGCATGAGGTGGTATCGCATTATGATTCGGATTTGCATTTCCCTGATAAATAGTGATGTTGAGCATTTTTCACATGCATATTGGCCATTTGTATATCTTCTTTTGAAAATTGTCTGTTCATGTCCTTAGACCACTTTTCGATGGGATTTTTTTTTCCTGCTGATTTGTCTGAGCTCTTTGTAGATTTTGCATATTAGTCCTTTGTCAGATATATACATTGTGAAAATTTTCTCTCACTCTGTGGGTTGTCTGTTAACTCTGCTGAATATTTCTTTTGTTGTGCAGAGCGTTTTTAGTTTAATTAAGCCCCATCTTTCTATCTTTGTTTTTCTTGCATTTGCTTTTGGGTTCTTTGCTATGAAATCGTTGCCTCAGCCAATGTCTAGAAGGCTTTTTTTCAATGTTATCTTCTAGAATTGTTATTGTTTCAGGTCTTAGGTTTAAGTCTTTGGTCTATTCGAGTTGATTTTCTTATAACGTGAGAAAGGATGATCCAGTTTCTTCTTCTACATGTGCCTTGCCAATTATCCAATCACCATTTGTTGAATAGGGTGTCCTTTCCCACTTAATATTTTTGTTTGCTTTGTCAAATATCAGTTGGCTGTAAGTATTTGGTTTTATTTCTGGGTTCTCTATTCTCTTCCATTGGTCAATGTGACTATTTTTATACCAGTACCACACTGTTTTGGTGACCATGGCCTTGCCAATTATCCCATCACGATTTATTGAATAGAGTGCCCTTTCCCACTTAATGTTTTTGTTTGCTTTGTCAAAAATCAGTTGGCTGTAAGTATTTGGCTTTATTTCTGGGTTCTCTGTTCTTTTCCATTGGTCTGTGTGCCTATTTTTATACCAGTACCAGTTCTAGGAGCTTTTTGGATGAGTTTTTAGGGTTTCCTAGGTATATCATTTTATTATCAGGAAACAGAGAGTTTTACTTCCTCTTTACCAATTTGGATGCCCTTGATTCTTTCTCTTGTCTGATTGCTCTGGCTAGGACTTCCAGTAATATGTTAAATAGAAGTGGTAAAATTGAACATCCTTGTCTTCTTCCAGTTCTCAGGCGGGAATGCTTTCAGCTTTTCACTGTTCAGTATAATGTTGGCTGTGGGTCTGTCATAGATGGCTTTTGTTACCTTAAGGTATGTTTCTTCTGTGCCAATTTTGCTGAGGGTTTTAATTATAAAGCGATGCTGGATTTTGTCAAATGCTTTTTCTGCATCTATTGAGATGACCATGTGATTTTTGTTTTTAATTCTGTTTATGGGGTGTATCACATTTATTGACTTACAAAAAACTATCCCTGCATCCCTGGTATGAAACCAACTTGATCATGGTGGATTATCTTTTTGATATGCTGTAGGATTCAGTTAGCTAGTATTTTGTTGAGGACTTTGGCATCTATGTTCATCAAGGATATTGGTCTGTAGTTTTCTTTTTTGTCTTCCCTGGTTTTGGTATTATAATGGCTTCATATAATGATTTAGGGAGGATTCCCTTTTTCTCTATCCTGTGAAATAGGGTGAATAGGCATGGTACCAATTCTCCTTTCGATGTCTGAAAGAATCCAGCTGTGAATCTGTCTGGTCTTGGAATTTTTTTTGTTGTTGATAATTTCTAAATTATCATTTCAATCTCACTGCTTGTTATTGGTCTGTTCAGAGAATCTATATCTTTCTGGTTTAATCTAAGTAAGTTGTATATTTCCAGGAATTTATTCACCTTCTCTAGGTTTTCTAGTTTATTCATGTAAAAGTGTTCATAGTAGCCTTGAATAATCTTTTGTATTTCTGAGGTATCAGTAGTAATATCTCCTGTTTCATTTTTAATGGAGCTTATTTGGATCATCTCTCTTCTTGGTTAATCTCACTAATAGTCTATCAGTTTTATTTATCTTTTCAAGACACCAGCTTTTTGTTTTATTTTTGTATTTTTCTTTATTTGTCTGTCTCAATTTTATTTAGTTCTGCTCTGATATTTGTTATTTATTTTCTTCTGCTGGGTTTGAGTTTGGATTGTTCTTATTTCTCCAGTTCCATGAGGTGTGACCTTAGATTGTCTCTTTGTGCTCTTTTAGACTTTGTGATGTAGGCATTTAATGGTATGAACTTTCCTCTTAGCCTCATTTTTGCTGTATCCCAGAGGTTTGGATAGGTTGTGTCACTACTATCATTCAATTCAAAGAATGTTTTCATCTCCATCTTGATTTCATTGTTGATCCAATGATCATTCAGGAGCAGATTAATTTACATGCATTTGCATGGTTCTGAGAGTTCCTTTTGGAGTTGACTTCCAATATAATTTCACTGTGGTCTGAGAGAGTACTTGATACATTTTAAATTTTCTTAAATTTACTGAGGCTTCTTTTGTGCTCTACCATGTGGTATATCTTGGAGAATATTCCATGTGCTAATGAATACTTTATTCTGCAGTTGTTGAGTAGAATGTTCTGTAAATATCTGTCAAGTCCATTTGCTCTAGGGTATAGTTTCAGTCCATTGCTTCTTTGTTGACTTTCTGTCTTGATGATTTGTCTAGTGCTGTCAGTGAAGTACTAAAGTGCCTCACTATTATTGTGTTGTTCTCTGCCTCATTTCTTAGGTCTAGCATTAATTATTTTATAAATTTGGGAGCTCCAGTGTTAGGTGCGTATATATTTAGGATTGTGATATTTTCCTGTTGAACTAGTCATTTTATCATTATATAATGTCCCTCTTCATCTTTTTTAACTGCTGTTGCTTTAAAGTTTGTTCTGTCTGGTATAAAAATAGCTATTCCTGCTTGCTTTTGGTGTCCATTTATATGGAACATCTGTTTCCACACCTTTACTTGAAGTTTATGTGAGTCTTTACATGCTATGTGAGTCTCCTGAAGACAGCAAATCCTTGGCTGGCGAATTATCATCCATTGTGCCATTCTGTATCTTTTAAGTGGAGCATTTAGGCCATTTACATTCAATATTAGTATCGAGATGTGAGATACTAATGTATTCATCTTGCTATTTGCTGCCTGAATACCTTTTTTTTAAATCATTGTGTTATTGTTATGTAGGTCCTGTGAGATTTATGCTTTAAGGAGGTTCTATTTTGGTGTACTTTGTGGATTTATTTCAAGATTTAGAGCCTTTTTAGCCGTTCTTGTGGTGGCAAATTCTCTCAGGATTTGTTTGTCTGGAAAATACTGTATCTTTTCTTCATTTATAAAGCTTATTTTTGCTGAATTCAAAATTCTTGACTGATAATTGTTTAGTTTAAGGAGGCTAAAAATAGGACCTTAATCACTTCTGGCTTGTAGGATTTCTGCTTAGAAATCTGCTGTTACTCTGATAGATTTCCCTTTGTAGTTTACCTGACGATTTTGCCTCACAGCTCTTAAGATTCTTTCCTTCATCTTGACTTTAGATAACCTGATGACTATGTGCCTAGGCAATGCTCTTTTTGCAATGAATTTCCCAGATGTGTTTTGGCATCTTGTGTTTGGAGGTCTAGATCTCTAGCAAAGCAGGGAGAGTTTTCCTCAATTATTCCCTTAAATATGTTTCCCAGACTTTTAGATTTCTCTCCTTCCTCAGGAACACCAATTATCCTTAAATTTGGATGTTAATACAGTCCCAAACTTATTGGATGGTTTGTTCATTTTTTGTTTAATTCTTTTTTCTCTGTCTTTGACAGATTGGGTTAATTCAAAAGCCCTGTCTTCAAGCTCTAAAGTTTTTCCTTTTGCTTGTTCAATTCTATTGCTAATACTTCTCAGTGCATTTTGCATCTCTCTCAGTGTGTCCTTGACTTCCAGAAGTTTTTTTTTTATTTATGCTATTTCACTGAAGATTTTTCCAAAACGAATATTTACAGAATATTCTACCCAACAACTGCAGAATAACTTCATATCCTGAAGATACAAGATATTTCATATCCTGTTTTTTATTTCTTTAAGTTGGAGTTCACCTTTCTGTGGTGCTGTCTTCATTAGCTTAATAATCAACCTTCTGAATTCTTTCCTGGGAATTCAGAGATTTTGTCTTGGATTGGATTTTTTGCTGGTGAGCTGGTATGATTTTTTGGGGGTGTTAATCAATCTTGTTTTTTCATATTACCAGAATTGTTTTTTCTGGTTCCTTCTCATTTGGATAGACAATGTCAGAGGGAAGATCTGGGACTCAAGAGTTGCTGTTCAGATTCTTTTGCCCCATGGGTGCTTCCTTGATGTGCTGTTCTCTCCATTTCCCTAGATATGAGGCTTCCTGAGAGCTGAACTACAGTCATTGTTTTTGCTCATCTGGGACTAGCCACCCAGTGGAGCTAACAGGCTCTGGGCTGGTACTGGGAAGCATCTGCAAAGAGTCCTGTGATGTGATCCATCTTTAGGTCTCTCAGCTGTGGATATCAGTACCTGCTCTGGTGGAGGTAGCAGGGGAGTGAACTCTGTGAGGGTCCTTCATTGTATTTTTGTTTAGTGGGCTGGTTTTGTGTTGGTTGTCCTCCACCCAGGAGGCAGCATTTTCAAGAGCACATCAGCTGTGGTACTATAGAGAGGAAGCAAACTTGCCCTAGGGTCACCTGGTTAAGTATTCGGGTTTCTCAGGCAGTGGGCAGGGCCATAGAGCACCCAAGAGATTATGACCTTTGTCTTCAGCTACCAGGGTGAGTAGAGAAGACCACCAGGTGGGGACAGGGATTGGTGTGTTTGAGCTCAGACTCTCTTTGGGTGGGACTTGCTGTGGCTTCTGAGGGAAATGGTGGTGTGGTTCCCAGGCCAATGGAGTTATGTTCCCAGGGGGATTATGGCTGCCTTTGCTGAGTCACACGTCACCAGGGAAGTGTGGAAAACCAACAGTCACAGGCTTCACCCCATTCCCAAGCAGTCTGCAGTCCTAAAGCCCAGTATCATTCCCATTGCATGCCCCCAACAGCACTGAGTCTATTTCCAGGCAGCTGCTGACCAAGGCTAAGAACTTGCCCCAGACCACCAGCCTCCCTGCTGAAAAAGCAAGCATATTCATAGTTTCATGGCATCTCAGGGAGCCTGCAGCCGTGATCCAGTTCCTTCAAAGGGTCTGTTGATTATCTCAGCTTTCCTGGCATGTTGTTGTAGTAGTTCTTGGAGCAAAAGTTCATGATGTGAGTCTCCACATGCTGGTCTGTCTGCCCAAGTGGGGGCTGCAAGCTAGTCCTGCCTACTATCTGCCATCTTGATCCTTGGTGAATTATTTTCAAATTACTTCATGTCTTTTAACAGATTAAAATCTCATAAATTAAATGAGATACATTTAGACATTCATAGTTATATTTACAATTAAAATATCAAAATATTCTGTCATAAAGAGTCATGTTTTACAAAATTACCATAATTTTTTTTGTTAATATAACATA
The DNA here is from genome assembly GCF_000001405.40 of Homo sapiens. NCBI lineage: Eukaryota > Metazoa > Chordata > Mammalia > Primates > Hominidae > Homo > Homo sapiens. The sequence goes on from NC_000004.12 coordinate 132,404,646, forward strand.
TATATCCTTATTGAGCAGGGTTAACTGAATACTTAATATAACAATGAATGACTATAAAGGAAAGTAGGTAATCCATAGGATGACTGCCTGTTTATTTTTACAATGAAATATGGATCAAAAACGGACAATGGATTCGATTTTAAATTTGGGGTGTTAAATGGGGGAAACAACAGCATATTCTATATTTACTCTAGTTGTTAGAAAATATTGGATCTGTTTCCAGAAGTAATACATATAAAAATTTAGCAAGTAAATATTACTGTTGGCACCTGCATTTATTCTCAAGCATCAGAGTATCATAACACATGCAGATATTTGCCACCTCTTATAATTATTCATATACAATTTAATTTCTATTTTAAGCAAATAATTTGTTTTCTTTAGTAAAATTAATCTTAAAACATACTTAAGATTAATTATAATTATAATATGCTTTAGAAACTTTACTTTTTATATTAATTTGTTTCAGAGGAAAATAAGAGCTGATAATTTCCTATCTGTTAAGTGACTATGTTTAGTATTAATTTATTACAGAGAAGACAACCAAATCTAATGTAATAGTATATGCTTATGCTACACTTCCAGTTCCAAATATCATAAGACATTCTGAAAATGGATAAATGAAGGTTATGCTTATGAGCAACAATTACCTATCTTCACTATTCACCACTGAGAACTGACACATGGAAAATACAACCTACTTTCATTTATTTTTTGTATGTATCACATGAAACACATACAGATTTCCTACATGCAGCATTAAAAATAACTTATTAAAGTTCTTCAAACTAAATAACACATCAACTAAATAACACATCTGGATAATTCCTCAAACATCTCATATTCTAATAAAGGGAAGTAGCAAGAAAATAATTAAATTACAAACAAGTCTTCAGTGCATTAATGATGTTAGGCTTTTGAAAATAATTGGAGTCCTATCCTCCCACAAAAACTGGGAGATATTAGAAGTGCTATCACCCTTGACGATTACACTTCAAAGGGCTAGCTCTCAGGTTCTTGAGAAAGGTATTCCTGAGTTGTAAACTGTAAAGAAGCTGTTAAAAATATTTGCAGATAAGGGAATTATAATAAATTTTCTAAAGTAAATGCTTTAAGAAAAGGAATGTCATAGGCCTAGAGTCACAAAGAAGACTGTTCAAAGTTTAGTGAAGGTGGGAAAAACATTAGACAACCTTGGCTGATCTTCCCATTTTCTTCAAAGAGAAACCTGGTTTTTCCAACACCAACATAAGGAGTTGCTTATGTGGTTTATTTCATTAGATTTTAAGCAGATTTGAAGAATAAATTGAATCATCTGCTAAGACATGGCAGTAGAGAATATTTGCTGCATGGTGTGAGCAATCAGGTATATAATGCAAAGAATTCCTGTGAAAATAAAAGAAAAACAAAGATTAATATTTAGGGCAGACTATAAACCCAGTTTCTGAGTCTAGAGGGCACCTATTTAGGAAGATTCTTTAACACTGCGATTAAATTATCTTTAGAAGGCAGACTGAGAACAGCAGTGGCAACAACAGATTTCCCACTATGTAATCTCAATGTTTTTGATGATGACATAGACATCAGTGAGGTTTTGATAAGATTATTCAGATTCACAGTTACTTTCTCTGGAGCAGAGAGCATGCAGGATGCAAGAGTTCTGGTAACCTCCGAAGTGTCTTACACAGCAGCATTTCCAGGCATGAAGGTTACCCATACATGATATGCTGTAGTGATGAGTCCCTCGAAGTTTATTTGAAGTCTTCCAGCTTCAGCTCACAGGACTTTTTCATCTCCTGGGAGGAAAGGCCAGCTATGAGACAACTTTGAGTCCCAATAAGGATGTGGGCAGTCAAGTATTAGTTTTCAGTGATGTCATGTCAAGAGGTAAGGAGAAAAATTGAAAATGTTAATTTGGAGAGTTGTAAATAGATAACGAAATAAACTATAACAATTAAAAATGTGGCAAACACTGACAAAGTGTGTTTTAAAGACAATGAACAGGACCAGAATCTGATAGCCCACAAGGCTGTGATAAGTTTTCTATTAGATAATAAAATTTCTATTTACATTCACTCCTTCTTTTGATCAAATATGACTAAGATTATCCTTGATTGCAAAGGTTGACCGCTTTATTAGATAGGTATATCAAAAGGCATAACTGAACACATATCCTTTGTTATGTTTGATTTGTCATTTTTTTAAAAGAATCTCAAATGACCTTTTCAATATCTTTCAAGGCTAAAAACACAAGTTGAGAACTTGTCAGATTTCACCTTTGGTACCTATATAGGTTTGGGTGAATATCTTTTCTCTTGTTATCCCTCAAATATGCTATGGTTCCTGGGCCTGCTAGTAAGTGACCTTCCTTTCTCACCTGTAAGACTGGAAACTTGGTTATATTTAAGCATGAATCCAGTTTCACATGAGGACTTTATAAATGTTGGCTCCATAAAGTCAACTTTAGTTTCTTAAAATTGTCTGGTCATATCCAGTTCTATGCACATCATTCTCAAATATGATATTCCAGTGAAAGCCTCGGTTAGGAAACCAATATTTCCAATTATATCCTGTTACATGGAGGGAAAGTTGTAACTGAAACTATGCAAACAATCATACTATCACGAAAATATGAATAATCAGAGTTTCCAAATTCTGAAGAGATTAGGCACAAAGAAAAAAATATTCGATTTCTGTTTAGAAAAGCATATTCTATTAAATCATTATGAGTTACGAACTTAAGAGAAAATAAAAATGAGCTCTTTATAATTAGAGTATAGAACATGAAGCATCAACAATATTCTAAACAAAACTCATACTCATCTCTCATCAGTTCATTCAGTTCTACCTAATTTTGTTTTGCTTGATGTTGGGTTAGTAGTCGCATGAACCCATTGGCTTAATTAGAGTACTATAAATTCTGACTTAGTCCAGTGATAGGGCCTTAGAGTTTTCTAAGCAATGAGATCAGAAGCTTGTGTCCCACAGTACCTGATATAGCACTTCCATGGATCTTCAAGAGAGCCTTCTTTTATTCAAGATGAAAGCAGTCTAGCATGTAGCTGATTGCAAAGCCTTTCAGAGAAGGCTTAATGGTTTATCTTGGTGAATATTCCCTGTCCATATGAAGAAAAAACCATATTTTAATGTTATGAGGTAATTTTACCAATGTCAACAAGGTCAAATTGAAGATAGTATTATTTTGGTCTTCTATAGTCTACTGATTTTCAAATTTCTTATTTTATATGTTAGAGCGACGTTGAAGTTTCCAGTTATAATTGTGTATTTGTCTATTTCTTCTCTCAGTTCTATCAAGTTTTGCTTTATGTTTTTCAATCTCTGTTTAGAATATATGTTTGGGAATGTTGTGTCTCTGGGAAAATTGACCACGTTTACATCATGCAATATCTCCATTTCTATTAATAACCATTGTTCTGAAGTACTTTAATATAAATGCAGCTCTTCCAGCTTCCTTTGGGTAATGTTTGATTGTACATCTTTTTCCATCCTATTATTTTTACCTTTCCTATGTCATCATGTTTAAACTGTGTTTCTTATAGAAGGAATACTGGTAGTTGCTTTTTCATCCAATTTGTCTCTTTCTTTTTTTTATTGCTGTATTTAAGTCACTCACATTTAGTCTGGTTATTGCTATGACTAGATAAATGCTGCCATATATGGGAGGTTTTCTATTTGTTCCATCTGCTCTTTGTTATTTTCTCTTCATTTTCTGGCTTCTCTAGGGCTAATTGGTCTTTTTAATTATTTCATTTTATCTTCACTATTAATTTATGGTTTTGGCGATTGCCCTGAGTTTATGTCATTTTAATTACTTATAGTTAAATAATATCATATTGCTTCATGTGTACTGTATGGAATTTTAAACAATATATTTTCAGTTCCTCCCTTCTTTGATGATACAGTTGTCATATATCTTAGTTTTGTATATACTATAAACACTCAATGCACTGTAAAAATTTAGCTTTAGTCAAATAAAAATAGTATAAAGAAGAAAAAAATCTAACTTTATTTTATCTTTATTATTTATTTAGTTCTCCCTGCTCTTAATCTCTTGTTGTAAATTTATATTTCTGTCTGGTGTCATACTGTTTACTCTGAAGAACTGTAGCATTTATTTCAGTGTCATCCTACTGGTGGAGAATTCTCCCAGTTTTTGAATAGCTGCGAAACCTGAGTACAGAATGCTGGGTTGATAGGTTTTTGTTTGTTTGTTTGTTTAGTTGGTTGGTTTGTTTTTGTTTTTTGTGTGTTTTTTTTTTACAGCACTTTAAAGATGTTACTTCATTGTATTTTTTCTTACATGGCTTCTGGCAAAATGTGTACAATAATTCTTATTTCTTTCCCCTCCATGATATATGTCTTATTTTCTCCTGTTACTTTTAGGATTTTTGTCTGTTTTGTTTTCACCAGTTAGAATATAATATGCCTAGGATTTTGTGGTATTTATTCTGTTTGATATCCTTTGAACTTCTTAATTTTTAGGTTTAATGTGTATAATTAAGCCTGAAAAAATTGTGGCCATTATTTCTTCAAATACGCTCTTCTATTCCATTTGCTCACTCTTCTAGTATTTTGAAAATATATATTGTACTTCATTTGATATTGTCTCACAGCTCTTAGATGCCCTGGCATTTTTTTCTGTTTTCACAATCTTTTTATTTATTTTTTTATTTTGCTTTTCAGTATGGATAATTGCTATTGATATCTCTTGAAGGTTATTCTTACTTTCTTCAGTTGTCAAGTATACCAGTGAGCTTGTTTAAGGCATTATTGATCTCTGTTACTGTGTTTTTTAATTTTTAGCATTTCCATTTTATTCTTTATCATATGTTCCATCTTTGTGTTGAAATGACATGTGTTCTCACATGTTTTTCACCTCCTCTGTTTGAGCCTTCAATATATTAATCTCTGCCAGATAATTCCAACCTCTCTGTCATATCTAAGTCTGATCTGTTTCTTTGTCAGTTGGAAGTATTTGTTTTTTGTTTTCTCTTTTTTGCCCTGGGTAATTTCTGTTTAAACCCAGATATTTTATGTAGATCAATGGGGCTGTTGTTTTCCGGTTTGGAGGTGAGCATCCCTTCTCTCTTCCTTGTTCCTAGGACGGGCTTTGTGTAATCTAGTCAAGAGTTGGGCTGGTTTTAAAACATGTTGTGCAATGGTTATCCATAATGTATCCAAGCTTCTAATTGCTATGGATAGATACTTTATAATTAGTGTGAACTTTGGTTGTGAGGAAGTTATGCTCAATGACTTCTCTCCATCCATTAACTTTAAAGGCTTTAGTTCATGCTGTTCCTCAGAGAAAGTCTGTCTCTTCCAAATCTCACAGAAGTATTGTACTGTTATTTCTACTTAATACTTGGTAGCTTGGAGTTGGGGAACAGGGAGGCATGTTCTCTGCTATTCTGCTTGACCCTGGGCCTAAGTCACTGTATCCCTGGGTCTCTGGGAGTATCCTTCAAAATCATGCTTTTCTTCCACCAGCTATGGTTCTGGTCCCAGGAGGTGTTTTATATCCATAGGGGTAGAAGGCTCCCTTTTCCCATGTATATTGATTGTTAACAGTGCCTTAAGGGTGATCGTTTTTGTTTCCCTTCTACTGACAGATTAAAGCTTTTTTACTCCATAGTTGAGATATTGGATAACAGTTATTGTGCAGAATTTTTCCCCTCACACAGCATTACCCAAGCTTTCTCAGGAGACAGATTTTCTCAGGATTCACCCTCAATACCCACCTCCTCACCCAGCAAGCTTCTGTTGGGGTTCAAGGAAAATAGGCCAGCAAGAGGTGCAATCCTTCCCTGTATCTGTGGCCAGTAGAGGGGTTTACTCTTCTGCCAGTCTATTCTTGGTATTGCCAATGCATCAGTTTTTTAAGCTGAGTTTTTACTCAGGATCCTGTATCCTCTGCCCTTGGAAATATTGTGGTTACTTCTTATACCATTTTAAAGGAGTCTATGTCTTCTTAGATTATGAGTTATTTGGTTGGTCTGAAATATCAGCTCTCTGATAGTTTCAAGAAAAGTAACAGACTTGCATTTTGCCTGGATGTTTTTCTAAGTGTGATGTTCTTTCCAACCTCCTGAAGTTAAAAAAAAAAAAACTTAAATATAAGCCATTTAGGTTCAGAGATTCTGTCTTTTATATCATAATGTTAAAATTTACAATTATTCAAACATTTGAAACGGTTCTATTTTTAAAATAGCACTCTAAAAATGCATATTTACATACTAGGAATATGTATAATCAAGAGAAAAATGTCTTTAAGTGAAATATTAGTAGTCATAATATTGATTATGATTAGTGCAAAGTTTGGATTTTTAACTCCTTATTCTGACATAAAGTAATATTTTAAAATATATGAATATATGAAATATAATGAAATATATTCTGTCAGACTTGTATGAAGTAAAGACTTTTTAAACTTTAAGACGTTTTCTTATATGGCACAATCTCAAGGTTACAAACTTTAGCATAATACATTATTACTGGACATGCAATAAAGAAATAGGCTTGACACTGTAGGTATATGTACTAATATAATCAATGGATAACTGGTGTTAATACTCCGCATGAGCTTCTGAAAGTCCCTGAAGACAGTATGAATCACCTACAATATTTCAAAAATAAAGTTCAAAGAAGAATCTTAGTACCTCAAAGGAAATAAGAGAAAAATTGTAAACAGTATAAATAAAGTGCTTAGTATTCAAATAGAGCATTCTAAATATCCAAATAACATTTTATTCAAAGAATATTGATTTTCACTTCCACTTCCCATTTTACTTAGGGTCTTATGCATAGAGGCAATTATTATTTAGATTGTTTTTTGTCTTTTGAGACCAATGAGAAACATCTTAATGCAGAAATGTACAATTTACTTTCTCATAAATTGGTTTGTTTTACAGCCTTATCTTTCACTTTGACTCATTATATAAATAAGTTTAAATATATGTTGTAATATTTCCCCCAGACCTTTTAACTTAAATTCATAGGGGTAGTATATATTTTTAAAAGGGTCATAAAAATAAATGCCTGTTAGAAAAATTTAATAATTCATTGATAAAATATTATTAATTTGTTGATTAAATATTTTTAAACATCTTTTCCTTAGGTTTTAACATAGGCAAGCATATTTTTATATTTTGAGTTCTATAAGACTAAATTTTTAAAAAGATTTTGTAATATTTTTAACAAATTGAGAAATAACAATGTAAAGTAATAACACAGTAAATGAATTTAAAGTTAGAAATAATATGAAAAGCCCAGGCTTAGATACAGATTTTTATATGTAAGTTAACATATTAACTTGTGTGTGTACTAAAATTATTTAATTTAAAAATATCCAGTTAGGTTAGTCAATTATATTTCTCCCCATTTTATAGAGGATAAAATTAAGGCATGCATAATTCAAGACCACCTAACTAATAAATGTTATGATCATGATTTGATTGCAGTCTGTTTATTCCTATTGTCAATACTGATTGCAGTCTATTTATTCCTATTGTCAATACCCTTAATGACAAAGCTATAAATCTTGCATGCATTTTTGTGAAGAAACAAGAGAAAAGATCAGTATAATGGATATTAATATAAGCAAAACTCTCTCACACCCACACATCTTTATAAATAATTTAAATTCATAATAAAAATCTACAGTTACTGAAGTTAGAGGAAACTTATGTTTAATATCTTTATTTACATGAGTCCAACAATATTCCTTTTGAAACTTTCATTTTTATGCATCATAGTGTTAGCCTACTTCATTATTTTAAATCAATGAAGAGTAGACATTGAGGTGCGATAAAGATGCATGTTATTGCTTTGTGTCTTTTAAAGCTTGATCGGCAGTACAAATCATTTATCTTCTAGGACTGTTAGATCTTGGCAATGTCCAAGTATTTAGTTACTGACACTTCATTGAGGTTGTCTTTAGATAAACAAGTGGGCATATAAATTCCAACACAGAATCATTTAATTTCTGACTTCACTAAATTTCCTATTAGAGGTAAATATTTAAATTTCCTATTATCACTTCAAACTTATTCATTTAGCAAAATAATAACCATCATCTAAGTGAAGATTTCTAGGCTTGATGAAGAACATCAATAATGAATAACACATTTATAGTGTGTACCTTCAAGAATGTTAAGTATAATGAAGGCAAAGAAAAATTAATTTAGCAAATGAAATAGAGTACAATACAATGGTATAAAAATACCACAGGAGCATATATCTGAGGTCTGTAACATATTCTAGAAAAAAAGAATATCCTCTGATATGGTTTGTCTCTGCGTTTCCTCCCAAATCTCATGTTGAATTATCATCCTCAATGTTGGAGTAGGGGCCTGGTGGGAGGTGATTAGATCATGAGAGAAGACATCCCCCTTGCTGTTCTCTTGATAGTGAGTTCTCATGAGATAGGGTTGTTTAAAGATGTGTAACACTGCCCCCTTCACTCTGTGTCTCCTGCTCTGCCATGTGAAGCTGTGCCTGCTTCCCCTTCACCTTCCGCCATGATTGTAGTTTCCTGAGGCCTCCCTAGCCATGCTTCCTGCACAGCTTGTGGAACTGAATCAATTAAACCTCTTTTCTTCCTAAATTACCCAGCCTCAGATAGTTCTTTATAGCAATGTGAGAAAAGACTAATACATCCACTCATTATAGAAAAGACACTGAATGTAGCACTAAATGTTAAAAATATGTTACTGAAATGCCAGGGGTTTGTCTAGGTCCTGTTGCTTGACACACAGAAAGCCAATTATTGTGACAATGAGTATTACCAGAAAAGGTGGCTTCATTCAGGTTCTGCAGCCAGGGAGAATGGAAAATCAGTCTCAAATGTGTCTCCTCAACTGGGAAAAATTAGTTTATATAGCAGGGGGGAAATGTAACTGTATGTAGGAAAACAGGAATTAGAAGGAGTAAGGAATAGGAGTTCATAGAAAGGTATCATGATGGATAAGGGACCTGGCATCTCATTGTCTGGATGTGGTGGTGGTCTGTTGGGTGACAGTTCCTTGATACCATCTGGGAGGCCTGAGGATTGGTTTCCTGAGTAAGGAGCTCAGATAAGACAAATTATAAGTTTCAAGCTTTGAGACTGAAGGGTCAATTTCTTTTTTTACTGCCCGCCCCCAACCAAAAATAAAAAAATCAGTTCTATGGGACAGTTAGGCTGATTCAGTATTCTTTCAATATATTAATTTCTCAATCATAGGGAATTTGGTCACCAGTCTTTCTGACTGCTGAGGAGGTGCATCACAGGATAATAATAATGAGGAATGAAAACATTACCCTGTAAATGGTAGTAGTCTGGAGTACCTGATTGGCATCCAGCTTGTTGAAGTACCATGACCTGTGTTCTTTTATTAATGATTTTACAACAACACTTAAAGCCACATTCGCTAGGATGATTAATAACATAGATGACCCAAATTTTAAAATACCCAAAACACAACGAATCCAAGAGAATAGTCCTGAAAACCTCATGTTCCCTTTATTATATCTTATGTAGAGTTTTGAACGAGGCTTTGAATATTAACTTAAGGCCATCTGAGGATTCAAAAGACCACGACAATCTCCCCTGGAGGGATCCCAGAGGTACTGGTTTTAGATGAGTATGGTGAATCCACAGCTTAACACTGGCTAACTTGACAGATGAGTGGGAGGTCAGCAGCACCTCAAAAAAGGCTGACCCCTTGTGGTTACAGGTGGTCTTCAGCCTCATGGGATCTCCAGGTCTTCAGGAGAACTTGCATCCTGGGTTTGAAAGAGTGGAGAGTCATGTCCACACTGAAATAGAGCCTGTTGAAAGCAAACTCAGAGATACTAATATATTTTTAATTGTTTTATAAATAATCTACCTTTTATTTTGGGGGAGGAAACATCCTCAAGTGTCAGGGAGTCTCAAGCTAAGAAAATAGTCTTCCACCCAACATTTCAAAGAGGCTACGAGCCAACTCATTTTTGGGGGATAGCCATATTCTCAGCAGGGAAAGGGGCAAGACCCTTTTCCAGGTAAGATTCCTCTCTTGAGAACTAAGCTTCTCTTGGCCACAGGTGGGTCAGTTTAGTCAGTGAGGGTCTTAGGGCTGTATTTTGTTTCCTACTGTTGCTGGGTTAGTATGGCTACCTGCCCTAGGTCCAACCTGTCCCGTGGCCAAGGAAATTAGAATTAAAGGATTTTTAGCCAATTAAATGTTCTAAGTCAGATACGAATGAAAGTGGCAAAACCCTTTTAAGCAACATGAAAGCTGAAAACTAAAAGCCCAAAAGTAAGGTTACAGAATTGCTTCTGACTCCAAGAAGTTTCCTTTGCCATTTAAGAGGCCACAATCTGGCCTGGTCTCTCAAGCTAAGCTGTATCTTCAACGTTGGCCTAGAATGGTAAGCCCTTTCTAAGGTCTACATAAGGGTACATATAACCACCAGAAAACAACAACAATAACTAGTGTTATTTCTCAAAGTTGGCCCTTACAATCTTACACGCCCACCTCTTTCATGATAGTCCCTGGACCTAGAGGGATTGAGTGGTTTTAATTTCTGGCCCTGTGTCTCACAAAAGCAGTTCATTTTGATTGTCACCTTCTCCCTGTTCTGAACAAGAGGATCTAACTGTTGTCAATGTTTAAGATATAGCAGAAGTCAGGACCTTTTTCAGACCCAGGAATCAAAGCCCTGTAACTTAACAGCATAAGGGTTAGTTAATAGGACACGTATTAGAGATGTTCGAAGCATCAAAACATTTGATCAAAACAAAATCACACATCATTGTAAAATAATAGTTATTCATTTAACCAAAGTGATCCTCGAAAGACTTTAAAAGCAATATAGAAATAAAATTAAAATAAAGGAGGACTCTACTTATTATATGCAGATAGACCACTGTGCTGTGAAATAAGTTTCTATTTACAATATAAATGATCAAGTATAGTGTATGCATTTATGCTAAGAACAGAAGCCAATGTTTAATGAAATGCTTAGAAACATAAAGAAGAACATTTGGAAATTAGTGGTCTGGTATACTAATACTGAGGAAAGTCCTCTCATTTCAGCTAGCATATTACAAATGACAACACTATGATTTGCTATCTAGTAGTTACTGCCTGTAGCACTTGAAACCATTGCATTAAAGTAGCTAGGTTACTTCTGGCATATATCTCATAACTAGCATTGTAGTGACAGAATTGTAACTACAGCCATACAAAATATCATCTTCCTATGTCAAACTTATCAAAGACAATTAACTTCTCTCCATTATGTAAAATTGGTAAATGCAAATATTAGTTTTGAAAATTCAATTTGAGGATAAATAATCTCCTTTCACTAAAATACTGTACAACAAAGCAGGGACAAAGTAAAACCAGGCATTCAATAATTGATTTTCATCCATTTAAAAGAGTATCATCACACATTTTCAAGATTGGTTTCAAGATACAATACTGCCAACTAATTAGATAACTGATAACTTTCGCCACTAGACTTTTCAAGCCAGTGCAACACTTGTACATATTTTGTTTTCATGTGTACACACATGAAGTCCCAACAAAAATAAAAGCCTTAAATTAAGAAAAAAACACCAGAAAGTATCACTGTTTTTATTACTGCTTAATCCAAGTGAATGTCACTTAATTTTAATAATGGAAAACACAACCTAAGTAGTTTGAGAGAAACCCTAGTCAACATACTTGTCTTCAGGACAAGGCCAATCTGTCCTGAACATTAAAACTTTGTACCCATATCACAGCTTTTCTTCATTACCTAAAGGAAAAGATCTGAAACAAACTATATTATCAATTTCATTGAATTACTGTAGAAATAAGCACAACTTAAAAATTTCTACTGCCACCAACTTTTCCAAATAACAAAATCAATAAGGTACTATCTCTATTCTGAAATTGTAAAAATAAATTTTATTTTTGGTAAGAAAACTTAAAGCTCTTATAGCTCTCTAGATCATCAGATGTAAGCAAAACCAATCTAATATTAAAAGGCTTGTTATCTCCATTATTTTTTGGAGGCTGGACAAATGGAGCTTAGAAATTTCAGACAAATCGAGTAAATGATTAATAATTGCAAATACATAGGAAACAAAATGACTCTTCATAGAATTAAATACATTCTTCCATTAGAAACTAAAAAAATAATAGTTTTATATGTATTTATAATAAGCAAAACCTAAAGGAGAACAAGTGGCAAATAAATGAAAATTAAAAGCAAACATAAACAGAAAAACAATGCCCAATTTTTCTCCTACTCAGTTTACCTTGGAGACGACAGTGTTACCCAGAGTCTAAAAACACACATGATGGATATTTTGTCCCTGCTATACAAATTAGTGCATTTAAGTCCATCAATGCCACTATACATTTTGTGCAATTAATTAACTTCAGGCAAGTGACCAGTAAGTACTTTAGTACCATCTTTTCAGAAGAGCAAATGTAGTGTGAAACAGCAATGCAACAATTTATGTCATAAAATTTGGCTCTGTGCTACATCTGGCTTTATACTTAACTACATTAAAAAAGCACTGCCAAACTGTCAATGACTTTATAATTTTTTTTATTTTACCTTCAACAAGACTAAGAGCTTTAACTCTGAGCAATGTTAACTAGCCAGAGTTCTTCAATTTTTTATCAGCTTTTAAGGAATGTTTTATTATCTAAGTGTTTTCAACTTTTACTTTCTCTGTTCGTGCATGAACAGTGAAACACAGAGAAACAAAAAAAAAAAATCTTGTGTCTTACACAGACCATCTATGACATGCGTGGACTTTCTGTTTTGTCCTAAATTTTCTTTTCAAACAACCAGTCATTTTACTTTAGGATAAAAATTTACCATACAAGATTCTTTCTCATAGAAATTATTCTCTCATCTTTATTGTAATCTTCCTTAACAAATATACATTTCATACCCATAGCTTTCTCCCCATATCTTCCCCCGTACTTTTTGGTTCCTTTCTACATTGTTTCATAAATAAACTTTTCAAATTCATAGGTTGAATTGACCTTTTGATAACTTCTGAATTAGACAAAATTCTTCTTCTCAATAAGAACACATCTTCCTTGGTACCTTTCATATACAAAATTATATGTTAGCTAGAATTCTTGTTCTTAGTAACCTTAAATTTTAGTGAAAACCTAAGAAGCAAGAAATCCTGAACTGCCTATCAGATACTAGCATTTTATAGATAAGAACTTTTCTACAATTTTTAAAAACATGTTTTCATATATAATAAGCTGTTCTTAATTTGAAATGACTCAGATATCCAATGAACATTCAAAATGATTTTTTAGATTTTAAATTACATAAAAAATTCACCTACAGCATTTATCCATTTATATTTAATTCATTTTTAGCAGTTAATCTAGATTATTTATGAAAACTAGCTGTTAGACAAAGCTAGTCACTATTTCATTGTCAACCATTTTGATACCCTGTGCAAAGTGTTTTCACCTAATTGAGAATTTTAAAGTTAAACACAGGAGTATTTTCACCAATAACTCAGAAGGTTCAGCTGTTTTTATTAAACCAACAACAATAAGTTAATCTTATTTATCAGAAAAAAATCATACAAAGAAAGATCATTTTGGTTTTCACCAAGTTTATATATTTATAACCTCCTGTGCCAAACCCTGACACCTCAAAATATCTAGTAGATACAAATATAAAATCCAGACAAAAATGTATGTGATGATTCTGAAGACATGCCTATTTTTATTTTACCAATAATTTTAAAGCCAGCTTGTTTATGAAAGATTTACTTATATTGCATGAACTTAAAAAATGCTTATATTTATTAATTTTTGAGCACTCTTTTATTTAAAGCCAATTTGTTAGAAATAGCATATACAATAATAAATGTACTTAAACATAAACACATCCAAACATGTATATACACACACAAATATCTAATAGATTTTACCTGAGAACTCTAGCCATGAGATAGCTATACAGACTTACCAGTTTACAAACATATTCATATGGCTAAATTTTATTTTCTCTAATGGGTAATCCAATGAAGGCTGAGATCCAAAATTTTGAGTAAAGCAGTTTCCCTGGCAGCTTGACATTTAAATGCTAAACCTCCCCATGCTCCAAAGAACACTGGGGCCAAAGAGCACCATAGAGAAACATCAAATACTAACCAGGCCTGAGCCTGCTTAGAACAGCAGCCTAAACCCTGGATATAAGTCACTCTATCCTGCTTTTCCAGTTGACAGGACACACACAAGAGTAATCACCAAAACACAATCCAACAGCTATAGTAATCAACAAACCCAAGAGTGTCCACACTCAAGCAGCCTGTGTTCTTTCTCTCTAAGTCTGTTGGGCTTGTTAACCTGCCAACAGAAATTCCTTGAGAATTCCCCAATTTGAGAGGAGCAAATACCTCTGTCTGGTACCCACAAAACACACTCACCCATCCAGATGCAGATGTCAAATTTCAAAGGCTGTTCTCTCTAGAAGATCAAGAATGTGGTTGGGGTCAGCAGTGGTGGGACTAGAGAGAGAGAGACCGAAACCCAGCTCCAACCAAAGAGGCATTGGGCAGCGCTTAGGAGGGCTTTTGAAACTCCCAGTCTACAGCAGCTGAGCCATGAGCAACACATTAGTGGTCAGGGAACAAAAATCTGTTACCAAAATGCCAAGTGTCCTGTTCAGTCTAGGTCCTGTTGCTTGCCACATGGAAAGCCAATTACTAGGACAATGAGTATTGCCAGGGAAGGAGGCTTTATTCATGTGCTGAAGCCATGGAGGTAGGCAAACAGTCTCAAATCTATTTCCCTGGCCAAGTAAAATTAGGGGTTTATATAGCACACAAAAAAATGTTTCTTCACGTATAGGAAAACAGGAATTAGGAAGAGTAAGGAATAAGAGTTGTAAACAGGAATCATGATAGATGAGAGGCCTGGCATCTCAACATCTGTATGCAGTGGTGATCTGGTGAGTTTCAGTTTCTTGATACCATCTGGGAAGACTGAGGTTTTGTTTTCTGAGAAAGGAACTCAGATAAGACAAATGTAATTTTCAAGCTTTAAGACCAAAGGGTCAATTTCTGTGTTTATCCAAAACAGTAAGCATCAGTTCTATGAGACAAATGGGCTGGTTTTAATAATATACACAAATTTAGAAAAAATCATAAATACGATACACAAATACACATATTTTGAAGTTAAAATTAAGAAGTGACTAAATATATAAGGACTCCCTGGTGATTTAGGTAAATTGAACACATCATTTGTCATCTCTAAATTTCCATCATCTCTCTAAAGTTCCCTTTTGTATCTTAATAATCATGTCCTTCTATACTCTAGGCCCTGATAAACTATAACCTGATCTTTGTCCCTAGAGTTTCACCTTTTCCAAAGAATCATTTGAATGTAATCCTGTGGTATGTCTCATTTTATCCCTGGAAACTTTACTTAGCATAATACTTGTGGGTTCATCCATAGCTTAGCAGGTATGAGTAGAATGCTCCCTTTTATTTCTGAGTGTATGGTATGGATGTGCCACATTTGTTTCTCATTCTTCAGATGCAGACATTAGATCATTTCTAATTTGACAGTTATGAATAAGACGTTTATACACATGTATGGTTTTTGTATGAACATATGTAATCACTTTTTATGGGTAAATACTTAGGAGTGGGATATTTGATTTGGGTCATGTACTGCTTATTTAATTTTATTTCAAAAACTGAATATTTTTCTCAGTGTCAGAACTATTTAAATTTTATATCAGCAGCATATGAAATTTCCAGATGATCGATATTCTTTCTGTGCCAGAAACTGGTACTTTTAGTATTTTTGGTTGCTTGTTTATTTTAATTTTAGTCATTCTAATATGTTTGTAGTGGTAGCCCATTCTAAGTTAAATTTTAATTTTCCTATTGAGTAATGATGTTAAGAATCTTTCCATGTGGTTATTTGCCATCTTTTAGGGTAAACTGTTCAAACTTTTGCTCATTTTATTCTGTTGTATATTTTCTAATGATTATGATTAGATAATTTTAATATTCCCCACATACTAGACACTATTTATGTGTTTTACAAACATTTTCTTCCAGTCTGTAGTTTATCTTTTCTTCATGTTAATAATCTGTCTTTCAAATGGCACATTTTTAATTTCACTGAAGTGCAATGTGTCAATCTTTTTACCTAATGGATTGCGTATCCTTATCAATGAAATCTCCACATTATCCTACTTTGCAAAGTTTTTCTCCTACACGTTCTTATAGAAATTTTATAATTTCAGGTTGTACATATTGGACTATAATTCATTTTAAACTAAATTTTGTATATGGTGAGAGATTTGGATTGAAAGTTATTGTTTTTCATATGAATATTCATTTTCCCCCTACATCATTTGTTGCAGAATACCCTTTCAACACTAAATGGTCTCGACAACTATGTAAAAAAAAGAAGAAAAAAATGTAAGCAGAAAACTATAGACCATTCTTGACATTTCTTTTTCACGTCCAATTTCAATATTAACACCAAGTTTTTAAATTTTGTATCTTAAAGACCTTGGGGCCACATAATCAAACCAAATTTATTAAAAATAATCATTTCTATACATTCTAATTATTTTCTTCACTACCAATCAAATACCTTTATATTTAAGGAATAAGATAAATTAAGGGCCATGCAATTCTTAAAAATTTCATAACAAAGATGAGACCTGTGCTCTCATTTGAACTAGCGGAACTGTTCAGGTAACATATTACAAGTATTTTACAAAAAAACTATTTAGAAAACTTTAAAGTTAAATTGCTCACTAATATTTTCATTGACTTACCTTTCCCAAATTAAATTTTTCTGTATAACAGTTAGTTTCTCAGTTACCTTCCTGATGCTGAAATGTTGTTCTTTAAATATTATCTACTGATGGCCAGGAGCTCCACAATATTCAATGAAGCATTATCTGTAGTGGTTAAGCATGGGAGTACTGAGGTTTGGCTAATTACACGTCATTTATTCATTTTGCAAAATTTTGACAGATTGCAACTATATAGCATTGATGAGATTATATACTAACAAGCATTCCAGTTTGAGAGAGAGAGAGAGCGAGCTTGGATTTCAATTAATATTTCCTAGGAAACATTGAGGAAGGTAGTAGATGATGAATGTTAGGATCTTCTGTGTCCATTTTTACACCAATATCAAATGCAGTTGAACAGGCTGTTCAACTGATAAATGAATAAACATAAATGTAGAAAATAAAGCTAGCATAGAAAAATAATTCCACTCAATATTTACGTTGGTGCTTTCTATACGCCAGGCCCTCAAGGAGCTCACCTATTGAGTGAGACAATGATAGAAACAAGTAATAATTATCAATTTAAAAAATTCACCATAATGTGATATACATTTGGTTGCTACTATACATGTTAAAGGATAGGGTGAATAAAGGCATCATATTTTTAAAAATCATTAATAGCCAGAAAGTACCCACAGTGAATATCTAGGAAATAAGAAACACAGATTATGTATATTAAAATTTATTCTTAAAACCACACCTCCCTTCGTTTGTGAGAGCAATCTAAAGGATATACCATTCTAGCATATTCTTCTTACTTACAGACAGCATGTATTTAATGTTTGTAGACATCACATGTCTATCTTCTGTGTTACTCTGCTTGGGCAACCACTTCTTGAGGTCTGAGAAATGTGAGTGTATCTTCGAATGAAAAGCAAAAAATAATCAGTACAATTTATGAGTTAAGTTTGTTACAATCGTACATGAACAACCTCACTCTTTTTGTAATAATATTTTTATCTCTCTTTATAAAATGTTAGGCCAAATTATCACATATTTTTATATAATATATTCATAAATTTCTGTTCAGTCTTCTTTCCCAATCCCTACCACACCTAATAAGAACGCTTCAGCCAGGTCGTTTGCATAGAGTATAAGGTTCTCGGATAAGGCAAAACATATAATTCCACAGATAAATAACAAAATAGTAAAATAGGCATGATATGTTCTGGGAAAATCAGTTATTTAAATGCTACGTGGGGGACTCCATATATGTAACAATGGGTAACAGATATAGCTACAATGGTATGCGAGGTTATTAAATGTTTAACTTTAGTTTTCCAGAAGACAAATGCTAAAACAAAATATTTTATAAAATCCTTATTGGGGGCCAGGCGCGGTGGCTCACTCCTGTAATCCCAGCACTTTGGGAGGCCGAGGCAGGCAGATCACGAGGTCAGGAGATCGAGACCATCCTGGCTAACACGGTGAAACCCCATCTCTACTAAAAATATAAATAATTAGCCAGGTGTGGTGGTAGGCGCCTGTAGTCCCAGCTACTCGGGAGGCTGAGGCAGGACAATGACATGAACTTGAGAGGTGGAGGTTGCAGTGAGCCGAGATAGCACCACAGCACTCCACCCTGGGCAACACAGCAAGACTCCATCTAAAAAAAAAAAAAAAAATCCTTACTAGGGAGTGCAATACCAGGGGGAGTGCGGGTAAAAGAGGAATGAGGTAGGGAAAGGGGAGAATAAATATAAGGAGTACATTATCTGGCTGATCACAAATTAATAAGCAGAACTGAAGGGCTGGTCTCCTATGTGATGGCTACCAGTCATAGGAAGGGCATCCCTCTGCCCCATTTTCATGCAGTAAGGTGGAATGGTATTTATTACTGTCGTGTTCCACTAATTCTAAACAACGGCTATAATAAAATGTTACTCTCAGCAGACAGGGTCAGAGGTCTTACATTCTACTTTGCATAGACTATATGCACTATTTGAGCATTCATCAACCAGCACCCTTTGTTTTTTAGTCTCCCATTATTTAAAGTTCATTCCAGGAAACTTGACTTCCCGCATTTGTCATTCAGAAACCAGCGAAACCAGAGCTCCCGAAACTCCAACCCTACCAAGAGCCAGGCACACGCCTGGTGATCTCTTTCTGCAAATAGGCAAAATATACAGAGTTCCTCATCTGTATAGATGCAGATGAGGAAGGGAGGCAGTAGAAGTGACCTGACTTCAAGACCTTGAGGAAAGCACAAGCACCATTATTGTTTTACCTGAAAATAAGGTAAATATATGTGTCTGGAATGTGTATCTGGAGTGTTGTGAACTAAGTCAGATAAACGTACCACTCATGAGATTTCTAATTTCAGCCTTCTTGACAAAATGGAACAATTATATATTTTAAGCAAGTAGTTGATATAGATAGGTTTTTGGATTAATGTAATAATAAATTTAACAAGATGAGCAATTTTAAATATGATGCATTGATAATCAATAGTTCTGACAATGTGAGAAGTTTAAAACATACGGCAGGCCTCCAGTTGTTATCGTGTATAACATGCAGGATGCTATATTCATAACACAGCAAGAATATATTCAGCTCTTATTTCAGTGATGTGCTCACTTTTAATTTTGTGTCATACTCCCAGTATTCAAAAGGCAAAGGACTTTAAAGGACTTTGGATTTTTTGTGGGATAGATATAAGGATGGACTACAACTTTTATGATTACTGTGAACAAAAGGAAAAATCAGCTAAATTCTATCCTTTAAACAAATTCTTTAGCCAACACTTTTAAATTTTGACCTATGTTATTCAAGATATGATGTTAGATTTTATATACAACCTGCAGTTCCTGCTCTTAAAAAGTTTAGTGTGCAGGAGAAGAGTGTAACCACGATGTAATTTATCATGAATAATGATAAGAAGGTGGAAAGAATAAGTAATATAATAGGCATGGTAATAAACATTTAGAAACAAGAACTATTGGAATTTTAAAGGGAAAATTACAATGCAAGTTGAGGATAGAGCATTAAGAATGATCTAATATATGTTGAAAAGTGTCATATATTTTTTGAAAATTTGCGGCATTTATTATAGGCAGAAATGGAGAAGGCAATATATTCATGAATGAAGAAAAATGTTATCAAATAAACAATGTAAGAGGTGCTTTAGAGTAACTGTAAGCAATTTCATTTGAGTGGAATATAGGGTTTTCACTGGAGAATGTGATGGAAAAGTATGCAGTTAGGTGGCAAAATATGTGATATACATAACTAATCATTTGGAAATATTCTATTAAACTACATATAAAAATTTAAAAGGTTCTAACCAGGTGTGATGGCTTATGCCTGTAATCCCAGCACTCTGGGAGGCAGGGGGATCACTTGAGCCCAGGAGTTGAAGACCAACCTGGGCAACATAGGAAACCCCATCTCCACTAAAAATACATAAAATTAGCCGGGTTTGGTGGCACATGCCTGTTGTTCCACCTACTCAGGAGGCTGATGCGGGAGAATCACCTGAGCCTGGAAGGTTGAGGCTGCAGTGAGCCCATATTACACCACTGCACTCCAGCCTGGGCAACCTGAGTGAGACCCTGTAAAAAAACCAAAAAATTAAAAGGTTCTGTGCCATTGACTCACAAATTCCGAATTAGAAATAGTGCATTTATAATCATAGGAATAATTAATACAGCTAAATTTTTTATCAATGAAAGTAGATTCTACAAATGAAGAAATAATTTGCATGAGTTCATAATTTTACATATGATAATTTAACAAATTACAGATTAAAGATATTAATAAATGCTTATCAATATGAAAATATACATATGTGATTCAGATGGAAACCTCACTTATTTTCATATTTTAATGTTTTTTTCAACTTTTAGAATCAAGAGTATAAATTAATTTGGTTGTTAATATTAGGGAAATAATGTAGAATGCTAAAGAGCTCATTATCAAGGCAATTATACATGTTCAGGATTGTTACAAAGGTGTATTGTGTGATGCTGAGGTTTGGGGTATCATTAAACCCATCACCCAGGTAGTAAGCATAACACATAATAAGTGATTTTTCCAACCGTTCCCCTCTTCTTTCCTTCTCCCTTTTGTAGTCCTCAGTGTCTATTGTTCACATCTTTATGTCTGTGTGTACCCAGTCTTTTGCTCCCACTTGTAAGTGAGAATATGTGGTATTTGATTTTATGTTTCTGTTAATTTGCTTATGATAATGGCCTCCAGCTGTATCCATGTTACTGCAAAGGATATGATTTTGTTCATTTTTATAGCTGCATAGTATTCCATGGTGTATATGTACCATATTTTCTGTATTCAATCCACCATTGATGGGGACCTAAGTTGGTTCCAAGCATTTGCTATTGTGAATAGTGCTGCAATGAATATGGGGAGGGGGGACATGTATCCTTTTGGTAAAATAATTTATTTTCTGTTGGGTAAAATAACTTATTTTCTGTTAGGTATACACTCAGTAATAGGATTGCTAGGTTGAATGGTAGTTCTATTTTCAGTTCTTTGAGAAGTCTCCAAACTGCTTTTCACAGTGGCTGAATTAATTTACATTCCCATCATTAGTGTATACGTGTTCCCTTTTCTCCACAGCCCTGCCAATATGTTATTCTTTGATGTTTTAATAATAACCATTCTGACTGGGTGAAGTGGTATCTCTTTGGGGTTTTGATATGCATTTTCTGATTATTAATGATGATAAGCATTTTTAAGTGTTTGCCGGCCACTTGTATGTCTTCTTTTGAGAGGTGTCTGTTCATGTCCTTGGGGTTATTTGTTTTTTCTTGTTGATTCATTTAATTTCCTTATCGATCTTGGATATTAGTCCTTTGTCAGACGCATAGTTTGAGAATATTTTCTCCTATTCTCTAAGTTTTCTGTTTACTCTGTTGATAATTTCTTTTGCTGTACAGAAACCTTTTGCTTAATTAGGTCCCACTTGGCAACTTTTGTTTTTGCAATTTCTTCTTAGGGCTTAGCCATAAATTCTTTGCAAAGGCCCATGTTGAGAAGGATATTTCCTAGGTTTTCTTCCAGGGTTCTTATATTTTGATGTCTTACATTAAATCTTGAATTCATTATGAGTTAATTTGTGTATATGTCTATAAGGAGGGGCCCTGGTTCATTCTTATTCATATGGAAGCCAGTTATCCCAACACCATTTACTGAATAGCGAGTCATTTCCCCATTGCTTATAATTGTCAACTTTGCTGAAGAGGCTTCAGGTGCACTACTTTATTTCTCAGTTCTCTGTTTTGTTACATTGGTTGATCTGTCTCTTGTTTGTACCAATAACATGATATTTTGATTACTGTAGACTTGTATTATAATTTGAAGTTACGTAGTGTGATGCCTCTGGCTTTGTTCTTTTTGCTTAGGATTGTTTTGGCTATCCAGGCCCTTTTTGGTTCCATATGCATTTTAGAAAAGTTTTTTCTAGTTTTGTGAAAAATGACATTGGTAGTTTAATAGGAATAGCCCCGAATCTGTAGATTATTCTGAGCAGTATGGTTATTTTAACTATATTGATTCTTTCAGTTCATAAGCATGGAACTTTTTTATTTGTTTGTTTCATCTATGATTTCTTTCAGCAGTGTTACACAGTTCTCCTTGTGGAGATCTTTCACCTGCTTGGTTAAATGTATTTCTAGATATTTCATATTTTGTGGCTATTGTAAATGGGATTGCATTCTTTGTCTCTCAGTTGGCATATTATTGTTGTATAAAAATACTACTGATACTTGTACATTGATTTTGCATTCTGAAACTTTGTTGAAGTCATTAATCAGTTCTAGGATTCTTTCGGCAGAGTCTTTAGAGATTTCTATGCGTACAGTCATATCATTAGCAAAGAAAGATAATTTTACTTACTCTTTTCCTGTTTGAATGCCTTTTATTTTCATTTTTTCTGTTGCCTGATTGCTCTAGCTAGGACTTCCAGTACTATGTTGAATAGGAGTGGTGAGAGTGGGTATCCTTGTTTTGTTCAGGTTGTCAAGGTATTAGGCTGATGCCAGCATCACAGAATGAGTTAGAGACGAGTCCCTCCTTCTCAATTTTTTGACATAGTTTCAGTAGGATTGGTACCAGCTGTAATTTGCACACCTGGTAGAATTCAGCTGTGAATCTATCTGGTCTGTGACTTTTTTGATTGGTAGGCTTTTTTTTTTATTATTACTGATTCAGTTTTGGAACTCAATATTGGTGTGTTTAGCATTTCACTTTCTTGCTGCTTCAGACTCAGAACATTATATGTTTCTAGGATTTTATGCAGTTCCTCTAGAGTTTCAAGTTTATGTGCAGAGAGGTGTTCAGAATAGTCTTTGAGGATCTTTTGCATTTCTTGAGGATTAGGTGTAATATCACCTTTGTTATTTCTGATTTTGCTTATTTAAATCTGCTTTCTTCTTTGTTAATCTAGCTAGTAGTCTATTGATCTTGTTTATCCTTTCAAAAAACCAGTTTATGATTTTGTTGATTATTTTATGAAATTTTGTTTCTCAATTTTGTTTCATTCCTCTCAGATTTCAGTTATTGCTCTTCTGCTAACTTTGAGATTTGTTTTTGTGTTTCTATTTCCTCTAGGTGCTATGATAGATTATTAATTTGAGATCTTTCTAGCTTTTTGATGTAGGCATTTACCACTATCAGCTTTACTCTTAACATTAGATTTCCTGTATCCAAGAGATTTTGAGATGTTGTTTCTTCTTTTTCATTTATTTAAAAAATTCTGCCTTAATTTTGTTGTTTACCTAGAAGTCATTCAGGAGCAAGTTGTTTAATTTTCATGTCACTGGGTGGTTTTGAGAGATAATCTTGGTATTGATTTCTATTTGTATTCCACTGTGGTCCGAAAGCATGGTTGGTATGGTTTTGATTATTTTGAGCTTATGAGGTTTTCTTTATTGCCAAGTATGTGGCCAAGATTAGAGTACGTTCCACATGCAGATAAGAAGATTGTATGCTCTATATTTGTTGGGTGAAGTATTCTGTAGATGTTTATTAAGTCCAATTGGTCAAGTGTTGAATTTAAGCCCAGAGTCTCTTTGTTAGTTTTCTGCCCCATAATCTTTCTAACGCAGTCAGTGGAGATGTTTAAGTCCTCCACTATTATTATGTGGCTATTTAAGCCTTTTCATAAGTCCAGAAGTACTTGTTTTATGAACTTGAGTGCTCCAATATTGGGTGAGTATATATTTAGGATAGATAAATTTTCTTGTTGAATTGAACTCTTTATCATTATGTAATGCCCTTTGTCCTTTTTTACTGTTGGTGGTTTAAAGCATATTTTACCTGCTAGAAGAATAGCAAACCCTGCTCTTTCTTGTTTTCCATTTTTGGGATAAATCTTTTTAACCCTTTACTTTGCTTATACGAGTCATTACATTTGAGATGGGTCCCTTATATACAGTAGACAGTAGGATCTTGTTTATTTATCAAACTTTGGGAAATTTTTGTGAACAAAATTATCAAATATGTTTTTTAGGTTGCTTACTTTTTCTCATTCTCTCTCAAGAATGCCAATGAGCCATAAGTTTTTTCTCTTTATATAATCCCATATTTCTCATAGGTTTTGTTCATTTAAAACAATTCTTTTTTCTTTATTTTTGTTTGACTGGGTTAATTCGAAAAACTGGTCTTTGAGCTTTGGAGTTCTTTCCTCAGCTTGGTCTAGTTTTTTAAGCTTCTACTTTATTTTGAAATTTCTGTAGTGAATTTTTCAATTTTGGAAGTTTAGTTTATTTCTTTCTTAAAATGACTATGTCACCTTTCAACTCTTGGATTGTTTTCTGGCTTCCTTGGATTGGGTTTCAACTTTCTCTTGAATCTTCTTTTACTTCCTTGCCATCTAGATTCTGAATTTTTTCATCTGTCCTTTCAGATATTTCAATCTGGTTAGGATCCACTGCTGGGAACTAGTGTCATTCTTTGGAGGTAAGGAAACACTACAAGTTTTGAATTGCCAGAGTTCCTGTGCTGATCCCTAATCATCTGAGCAAGCTTGTGTTTCTTTAACTTTTGGAGGTTGTTGCAGTTTGGATGAGGCTTTTTGTTTTCATATTTTTTTTCCCTTGAGTATTAGAATGTGGTGTATTTTGTATATAGTCAACTGGCTTTATTTCTGGGTGCTTTCAGAGGGCCAAGGGTCTGTATGGGTTTCTTAGTTGTGACTAGTTTCCTACATTGCGCTTCACAGGCATTGCATGCTGAAGGAATTTATTTTTGTTTGGTGGCATAATTCAGGCTGTGAGCTAGTAGATGGTGCTTAAGAGTAAGGGTCATCAAATAGACTCTTTTGTATTTCAGTAAATTCTCTGCAGTGCTCTGGGATGGGAATTATGGGGAAGGGTGCAAGAGAAAACCCTCCTTACCAAGTCCATTCCCAGGCCTTTGGGAAACCCCCTCTAACCACTGGCACTGTGCCCACATTTCCTTAGGCCCAAGGGATGCCCTCTCAGGCAACACTTCCCCTCCCTTAGGTACAGCCCAAGTCAAAAGCTAGATCACCAGAAAACCTGCAAATCCCTGGTTTCCACTGGTCCTCTGAGCTTGGCAGAGTCAGAGAGCACTGTGGGGTATGTCTGTAGGTGGTCTGGTGATGCACTGGTTCAAGGTCAGTTTGTCCTTGGTCAGGGCAGTAGTGCTATGGGTGTGCAGTTAGTGTGCTGCCCACAGCCTGGGCTTTTTGCCCAGCAGATGGCTGGTATTTTATATTATAGTGTTTTAACAAGAATTTGGATACATATTTTTAGATCATTGGAATAAAAAACGTATACAAATTTAAGGTATTTAGTGGCAAGTTGATAAATATGATTTAAATTTGTTTTTATCACAAGGACTCTACTACTATCATGTATTTAATTGTTTAAAGATATAGTTGGTTATTTAATGTCCTCATGCTTTTATTTAGAATGTCCTCATCTATCTGTTCTAAATGTATTACAGAGAAGAAAAGTAGAAAGAAGAAACCATCTTTGGAAAAAGAAGCTCCGGAAGATAGGAATATTTTTCTCTTTTTATTTTAGTTAATGTGAATATGGGTATTGGGTCAAACATCAGTTCTATCAGATAGTGATAGTATCTTACCACATTTAATATCTCACTTGCCATGGATTTATTATTTAGCTTTTTGAACTATTCCACTAACATCACACCTTGACTGAATCAATCAGTGCACCACAATGATAGCTTTATGTGCTAACATTTGTGTTAGCATTTTGAGACTCTCTTTAAATTATGAATTGAGTCTCTAAATTCTACCATAATATTCAAATATTGAATTCAATGACATAGTTTCCAAGTGCAAATATTGTCAAAAAATAGTTTAACATACTAAGAAAAAGACAAAGTATATTGAAACAAATCTTTCTGTTATCAAATCAGTAATTTTAAACATAGACCTCATGGTTTTTGTTTAAGTTTATACTTCAGTTGTTATTTTTGGATTCAGAAACTAATACATAATTTACTTTCTGTTATTCCTTTATTCTTTAAGTAGGAAAGTCAGTTATAAAATTAAATACATTTTGTCTTTTAGTGATATAACAATGTCTAAATATAATGTATTACTGACATATAGTAGACTATATTGCTAATATATTAACATTCCATATTTCATTAATGATATATGAAGATACTACATCTTTCCACTTTAACAAATTGTAGGTAGAATAACTGATAGAATTCATGATTTTGTACTTACATATTTCATTAAATATCATTAAACTAAAATTATTTTGGTAAAGGGTATATTTTATTGAAATAATAAACATAAAATTAGAAGTCCCTAAAAGAAAGAATAATGTTACAAAATAATATGGAATAATAAGCTAATTTGTATTTTGGTGATGAAATGGATAATACCATTAGGAAAGTTGTAGATCTCCGGCCCAGTTTATTGTAAGACAAAGTGTTTTATTATATTCTGGACAATTATTCAAAATACTTTCTGTGCTGCTACAACCAATTGATACGGTTTGACTGTGTCCCAACCCAAATCTTATCTTGAATTGTAGTTCCTATTATCCTTCCATGATATGGGAGGGACCCTGTGGGAGGTAATTGAATCATGGAGGCGTTTTTTTCCCGTGCTGGTCTCGTGAATATGAATAAGTCTCACAAGATCTGATGGCTTTCTTTATAAAGGGCAGTTCCCCTGCATATGCTCTCTTGCCTGACTCCATGTAGGACATGCCTTTGCTCCTCATTCACCTTCTGCCATGATTGTGAGGCCTCCCCAGCCAAGTAGAACTGTGAGTCCATTAAACATCTTTTTTTTTTTTAATAAATTACCCACTCTTGGGTATTTCTTCATAGCAGTATGGAAATGGACTAATACACCAATGTTCTATAATGGTTCTGTATTAGCATTTGATCATAATCGTTTATCATTCTCCCATTTCTTATATGGTTTTTTTTTCTTGGAAAAAGATCAATTGGGAGCCATCTTTAATATGTATATAACAGTTTCAATGTTGGAAAATATGAAATTTGCATATTAGTAAATGTAAATGTAATTTTAGTAGCTTTAAATTTCTCTTATAAATAATCAAGCCTGACTAATAAAAAATCTCATGAAAATAGCATGAACATAAAAACTTTCTGAGAAAAGAAAAATGAGAATACTTTAAAAGTTTTACCCTTGCACACTTATAAATCTTTAAATTCTATTAAACATATTTTGTTAGCATTATTTTAAAGCTGTGTAGCATGTCCTTAAATTACTGAAATAGTATAACCAAAATTTTTATGGACTAGCATATTCTTGTAACAATTTTTGCAAAATATGCATTAAAACTGGAAGCTTTATAATAAATTATTACTTTATCTGAATTTAACCCCACTTGCATTATCTTTCTCAGCTATAATTATCTGTCCCAAAGAATATCTCCAGCTTTTGCAACAGTAATCTTGACCTCTCTGCTTGCTCAGGGCATATCTAGAAATGAACCCAGTTGCCTCGAACCTGTAATTTCTGGAAACAATATTTACAGATTCAGAGAGAATCTGAAAACAGACAGAGATATGACCTGTTTTAACATGGGAGCTCAGCAACAATCTTTACATTGGGATTATCCTGAGGTATTTGGGATGCAAAAAAAAAAAAAAAGTACTCAAGTTTCTGTGTATGCTGTTTTCATAAAGGGTGACTCTTTTTTCTTTCATTGAGGACAATACACAACTCAATTAAGCAGAATTATTTCATTTCCAATTAAATATTTTCATATCATGATTGTCAGTCAGTTATATAAATTTAATCATTTCTGCATGCAAAATGGAAAAACATACATATTTTATATATTGCTTAATAAAGTGCAAACTGTAGGTTATTTGCCTTTTTATAAAAGATAGGAAAGAAGTTCCTTAAAATATACATTTTATTTTGTATAATTTGTCCAGAACTTGGACAAAAAAATTATTCTGTAGATCATTTATGAGGAAATTTATTCACAGAAGGTAAAATGTGAATCAAGCTAAAAACACATAATTTCTTTATGTTGTTCCTGTCTGTATCACTTTTACACATTAATAAGTCAAATTTCTCTCTATTTTTATATTATACCAAATTATAATCTCAATAAAGGCAATTTTTATGTTCATGGGGCCATATTACAAAATAGTTTTTAAATTTTAGCAATCTAAAGCATTGAATATTTTTGTTGTTTTAAAACAAAGAATACCATCCAAACCTTTGAGATAAAATAGGAGCTTTGAACATTATATATAGTGAAAACAGTAAGTGGTTTCACATGGTGAAACGTAATTTAGCCATGTTAAAAGTCCTTTAGCCTAGATGTTGTAAAAATAGATTTTAAAGGAAACTCCAAGATAAAAATAAGAGTAAAACATACATTGGACTACATCCATACACATCTCTTTCAAAACCTCCTTCTCACATGGAGATTAATATTCAAATTCTTCACCATGCTCTAACTCTGTAAATTACTAAAATAGTATAATCCCTTTCCCATTGCCTTTGTTCATTTGCTTTACCCACATTGGCCTTTTTGCTGGTCCTGGAATAGGGCAATCACACTCATGACTATTACCATAGTTCAGTGTATTCTCTCCTCCTGGAATTCTCTTTCCCCAGATTTTTACTTGGTTCATTTCCTAGAGACACCCATATTTTCACCTTAATGTCTATCTTACTACCTGCTTTTTAAATTTATTTATTATAATTGACATAATCTTACAATAAAAATTTATGGATAGTATTTTTCATAAAACTGTAAACATCATGAGTGCAGAGACATTATCTGTCTTCTTTACCTCTAGAAGCTGAGAATGACCTTTTGCCAAAGGCAGCAGGGAAAGGAGGACTTCAGTTTTACCAATTGAATTCTGTCAATACCTTGAATTAGTCAAGAAGTAGATTTGTCTCCAGAGGCCAGTCCTGTTGACAACTTCATTTTGAACTTGTGAAATTTGAAGCACAAATATCAGCTGAGCGCACCAAACTTCCAACCTACAGAATCACAATAAATTAGTGTTGTATTAAGCCTTTAACTATGTGGCAAATTTTTATGGCAGCAGTAAATAATTAATACACATGTGAAAGTCATTATCATTATCTCATGCTTGTTTATTATCATTAAAAAATTGTTATTGTTTAGCTTATTTCTACAAGATAAATATTTGATATTTTTAAGCACTCATTAAGGCATATGGCTCCCAAAATTTCTTATATTTTGTACTTTATTCATTAAATTAAATTAATATTTCAAACTGAACTTCCCACACATATGTAATACTTTTCCTATTTGATATAAATTACTTTATTTTTGTTAAACTTAATGGAGAAAACAGTTTCCTTAAGGTTTAATTTTTATCTATCTTCTAAATAGTGTAAAAGCATGTTTCAAAAGAAATGAGATAAAAGCACAAATATTAAATAAATGGATGAAAGATTTGCGGTTGGAAAGTAGAAAGTAATGGTACACTAACATTTAAATATAGATGGATAAGCGGAAAACATGGTGATAAAACAAAAGTCACATTAAAATTTGATTGTCTTTACTAACAAATTGTGGAAAATAATTTATTTAGAGGTATAACAATTTTTAAAAATTTAATTTTTCTTTTTTATTGTTTAATTTTTAAATTTCCTTTATTGTTTCAGCAGTAGAAAAAGTTTTGCATTGGGAGTAAGGAGACTTGGATGGATTTCAATACCACCTTAGTCAGGTGTCAGACTTTAACCAGGTTATTTTGTTTTATAGTTAAAAGACATGCTGTTCATTATTTACTCTAAAAAGTTCTCTCAATATTTTTGCCCAAAGCATAACAGTTTAAAGCATGTTATGTGCCCAAAATAACAGTTACTTTTGGCAATTATAGTATTTGTGTGTGTGTGTGTGTGTGTGTGTGTGTGTATTATAAAACAGAGAATAAGAAAATGAAAGTGTTGCTCTATTCATGTATATGACTCATTGGAAAAATAAAGTGTGTACAAGGAAAAGAGTTTATTCTTGTTTTGTTTTGTTTTCCTTGAATGCTTGTTTTAGTATAAGATGAGCAGCATGCTTATGATTTATTCCAACTAGCACGTTGCTCTTGTTTTATCATATGTTGATATGTTGACACTACTTTTATATTGTATAGCATGTTATTCCGTATTCATGCTGCTATGAAGACATACCTGAGACAGGGATATTTATAAAGAAAAGAGGTTTAATTGACTTATGGTTCCACATGGCTAGAGAGGCCTCAAGAAACTTACAATCATGACAGAAGGTGAAATAGGCATGTCTTACAAGGCAGCAGGTGAGAGAAGTGAGTGCTGAGCAAAGAAGGAAGACCCTCATAAAACCACCAGATCTCATGAGAACTTACTCACTATCATGAGAACAGCATGAGGGTAACTGCTCCCGTGATTCGATTACCTCCCACCAGGAACCTCCCATGACACCTGAGGATTACAGAAACTATAATTCAAGATGAGATTTGGGGGAGCCAAATCATATCATAGGGTTATTAACAGGCCATGGAATTATTTTTCTATAAGAACTTTTTGAGTTATTCAGTAGGACCTTTAATTCCAACTTTAGGATAATAGCAACAGTAATAATCAATGTAAATATAGTAATGAAAAAACACACTATACACTACAAACTATTCTAAATGTTGTAACATGTATTGACCTGTTAATTCTCTTCCCAACACACAGATATCATTATAGTCCTTAATTATAAAAAATGAGATTTAGTGAGCTTGAATAGCTTGCTTAAACTAATAGAAATAACCTGGCATGGAGTCTGAATTGGAACCCAAGCACCCTGATGATAAAATAACATTCTTAACCAGTGAGCTAAGTAATCTTCAGTTTTTTACATTAAACCCTTTTCTTTTTTTATTCTTCATCTTTCTTCTTCCCTGCTCCTCCTTCTCCTTCTCCTCTTCCTCCACCTCTTCCTTCTTTCTTTCTTCTTCTTCTTTTCCAGCTATTTGGCCATTTGTCCATTCTAGTGGGTTAAAATAGTGAAAGAAGATATACTGAGGAAAAACAAAATCTGAGCTTCCAAAGCACAAAAAGGAAGTCTCTTTTTCTTTTTACACAGTGATTCTGCAACTTAAGTGATCCTCAGAATTATCAAGGATCAAGAAGCTTGTTAAAAAGAAAAGGCTCAATAAAGTAAAGAAAAAGAAGAGAAAATAATTAAGAGCTTCTGGCTCCAGTCTGAAGCTACTCAATCAAATTATAACCCTCCAGGAATATAGTATCTATATTTTTAACTAATACTCTACAAGTCAGTAGCAGAGATAAAATCTACTAGTAGATGTCCTCATAATCCCCATTAAGATCATATACTAGAAGAAGTGTGGTGCAATCTTGTGAACTTAATATATAAATTGGATTTTTTTCTCAGTGAAATCACATCGTTTCCATACTGATTTGAATTTTGCATTTTACCAGTTTTCCTTGTGATGAATATGTTGAAAACTATCTTGTAGGCCCAAAGTTTTATGTTTATTATGTTCAATTATTCATAACCATATTCTTCTCTTTCTTGGTTGTGACAAAAGAATTATAACATTTGGACTGAAACTAAAGCCCACTTAATGTTGATGGAAGATATATCAAGATAAGCATATGTGTGTATATACATATATATATATATGTGTGTATGTATGTGTGTATCTTTTCTTGCAGCTACAGAAAATCAGAATCTATTTACATAATATAAACCTTCTTTCAAATGTTATTTCTAAAAAAGGAGTTTCATAGGATATATAAAATTTAGAAAATGGGAAATAATATTTAATCTCTAAAATATCTGTAATTTATATTAATAGTTTATTTAAATTATGTGCGACCTGTAATAATGTATAAACTAACCACTTTCTCTAGTCCATGAATATTTCAGTGTTTTCTTATAGAGTTGTAAGGGTGTTACTCTCATTTTGCCTTTTACGTTATGTGTTAGGGAACAACTACAGTGGTGCCAGATTTCTTTAAACAGAGTTTAAAGGTATTGGCTTCTATAAATAAACATTGCAATAACTTCATATTATGGATTCTACTTAACAAAATATTCACTGTCATACTATAATTTCATACTAAACTTTATATTTTATAGATATATTTAGTAAACTAATAAATTATTCTGCCTACATTTTTTAAAACTTTCACATTAAGTTTCAGGACCTATTCTTGAATAAAACAAAATAAAATGAACAAAATCAGAAAACCAAGCAAAAACAAGGGGGGGTGCTTACTTGTGTGTCCATAGTAGTTTTATTAAACATTTCATGTCTGCACAGTTCTTGACATACAAAAGGCAAGCATATCTGGGGTTTGCACCTTTGTGATTGTGAGACCACAGAATGATTATTTCTGACAGGCTCTCAAGTGAGAGTAAGACAGCTTGACAGATACATAGGGATTTAACTATAGCACTGAGCAAGTTTCAACAAATAAATGATACCATTTTTGTTTCTGTGTTAAAAAGGAGTATTATGAAAACTAAATTATTTATAATGAGCTAAATTTTATTCCACAAAATTTAAACAAACATAATTAGTATATATCTGTAATATTTTTAGTATAGATTTTATAATGCTATAAAACTTGTCCTATATTTTAATCAGATCTTTTAAATTTAGTGAACATACACAATATCTCCCCTCCATACCCTTTCTTTATTTCACATTTCTAATAATAATGTGGATGAAACACCCCAATTCATTCCCTGCTGAAGGTTAGAAATTACCAACATAGGGTAAATCAATATAAAGCTATGAATATGTATGTTGGTGCAGTTTCTCCTAATGTGTTCTTAATTTTGGACTGAAATTTGCTCAGTAGCTTTTAAAAATGACAAGTGACTTATAGGAAAAGTAACTCCTAAACATTCTATTAAAATACATTTTACAAATAAACATGATATTATTACTAACCTTCCATGAGTTACCAAATACTAATGTGTGTGTGTAAATAACGCTTGAATTCAGCCTTCCTTGAGTAGGTCTCATTTAATTCTGGTAAGAGAGATCTGCAAACCACACTATATTTCTCAGCAAAACATATATAAAACCAGAAAAAAACCCAATCTGTAGAAGTCACATATTATACAGAGAAAGAAAAAGTTTGAAATCTTATGTGTTTATTAATTTTGGCATTGGAAAGTTTAAGATAAATAACAAACAAAATTCTCTTTTAAAACTTCATTAGTCACAGAATGACTTCTGCACTCATATTGCCATTAGCAACTCAAAGCCTGAAACTTCAGCATAATTGTTGACTCCTTTTATCTTCACGGTTCTGCCAATAAATCAATAAATTCCATCCATTCAACATGTTACACTCTATGAAATAATTGATATTCTACTGCTTTTTAAGAACCACACAGCAACTTCATTAGGTTCAAATCTTTCCAGTTCTTTTCAGCCCATCTCAGCTATTCAGATGATTTGTGGCAACACCATTCCTCCCCCGTATTACGTATTACTTTAATAGAATTCAAACAAATAGTCCGAATACAACTCTTCTGGTACTCTCTCCAAAATATTCTCTGTACTGCAATCAGATAGTTCCTTCGTGAGTAAAGATCAAGTTCACTGTCATAGCCATATGATTACTGACACAATCTAATTCCTATTTTTTCAGCTTAAAGCTGCCTATTCTTTCTTACCACGTTAACTTTAGCCACTTAAATGTTTCCAATAGCGAATTACTCTGCATCATTCAAGTCTCAGTTTAAAAAAGATTTCCACTAGAAAAATCCCTTGCCCCTAAACTCTGACTTAGATGTATCATCCACCTTGTGCTTTCATAATTCTTATATAATAGTTATCACACTGTGTTTAATACCTGTCAGGTTCATTACTATCCCACCAGTGATAGGTTTCTAAGGGCAATGACTTAAAAAAAAAAAAACTTATAGCTCCTCCGACATTGTTGACAAAGTACAGGCAGTCAACAAATAGTAATCTATTTTCATTAACCGTTTAGCTCCAATACAAGCTGTTAAGGGAAGTCTAGGAATGTCTACACAAAATAAAGCCAAATATTTTAAATAAAGGATCCAATATATTAGACATTGCTAGGTGTATTGTAATTCAGCCATTAAACAAATATTCATTGATCTTCTACTATGTGACAAGTTCTTTTTCTGTGCTTTGGATATAGAGTTGAATATGACTGTGTTTTTCTCTCACAGAATTTATAATTTAGTGGAGTTAAGCGGAAAGGAGACTTGAAGTATTTTGAATCTGGGCTCTATGGTCATTTTTATGTTACTATATTATTTATATAACATTAAATTTTACAGTATTGATTCTATATTCCCACTCCTACCAAGCTATGGAAACTTTTTGTTAAGAAAAGACTAGGGCCCGGTGCAGTGGCTCACGCCTGTAATCCCAGCACTTTGGGAGGCCGAGGTGGGAGGATCACGAGGTCAGGAGATGGAGACCATCCTGGCTAACACGGTGAAACCCCGTCTCTACTAAAAATACAAAAACTTAGCCGGGCGTGGTGGTGGGAGCCTGTAGTTCCAGCTACTTAGGAGGCTGAGACAGGAGAATGATGTGAACGTGGGAGGCGGAGCTTGCAGTGAGCCGAGATCGCGCCACTGCACTCCAGCCTGGGCGACACAGTGAGACTCCGTCTCAAAAAAAAAAAAAAAAAGAAAAGAAACTAAAGAAAAGACTAGATGTCAGAGTATGGGAAAAGGGTAGATAGTCTAAAATGAGAGGGGAGATGGATGAAATTATCATAGTTCTGTGCCCTATGTTTCTAAGATGTTCTTATAGTGAACTTCCAGTACTTTGATACTCTAATTTTAGTCATGTCTGAACTGATTACCTGTTGACAAAGAATTTGGTCTTAAAATTACACAAATTGTATGCTAGTAACTTTGCACTACTACTTCAGTCCTTTTGTCATACGCACATCACATAATTGCCCAGGAGATCACAGCCTCTGTTTATTAGAATTTCAAGTTTCTCCTCTGATCTCAGAAGTATCTGCTTACAAATGATTTGGGAAATAAAAAAATATAGGTGCATGTTCATTAAAATGCACTATTCAAGGTAACAGGAAAGAGATTCAGGGTATACTTATTTTTCTGCCTACAAAGTAAATAATTTTCATTACACAGCAAGCATCTTACCCATAACACAGGAACGGCAAGACATAAACTGCTGCTAATTGCCAGCCTGCTTGATAGAGGCAGCTCACGAATCAGTATATTTGGCTTCCATATTGATGCCCAGCAATGTGTCAAAAAAGTGATTGTCTAGATTTAAAACTTGGGAGACTTCAAATTTTAAAATGCCTATTTTCATTATTTCTTGAAAAATCAGATCTAGCAACACTAAGATCAATTTCCTATATGGCAACCATTGGCTGGCAGTCACATTATGCATTCTTCTTTTCTGATGGGACATTTTCTCATCAGTTTTCCCCAATCTCCAGAAACCTAAAGTTGTTGTATACCTAATCTATTGCCTTATTTATGCCATCACTTATGTTCAACAAGTAATTGTGATTGGCACCATGTTCTATGCTCTTATGACATTTTATGTAATTATTGTTTTTTTAAGAATAAACTTCAAAAATTATGCTCAACAATCATTTTTTAAGGCAATAATCTGCAATTTGTGGGTATCAAAATTCCTGGGGTGTTTACCATGCAGATTTTCTGGCATAGTCTCAGAAAGGGAGATTAAGTGAGTATGAGGTACCTGCCAGGAAATGTGCAATTTTTCAGGCCCCTTCTTATAAGACCGCTTAATCTAATGCCTTTTATTTGTTTTCTAGACTTTGTGGAGTAATCATAATAGCAATGAGTTTTTCAAAATCATAAAAAGTTGAAATATTGAAAATACTAAAGAAAGGATTCACTTCATTGCTTCTCCATATATATATAATATATATGAGAAGCTATGTATATATATATATGAGAAGGTATATATATATATGAGAAGCTATATATATATATATATGTGAGAAGCTATATATATATATAGAGGGAGAGAGAGAGAGTAATTGAACGTATGACAAATTAGTGCTGAAGCATACTTTGCTTATTAACATTGTGGGAAACTGTTGGAGGGGAATACTTTATCTGTATGAACTTTATTTATTCATGGACTGAGTTTACTTTATAATTACAATGAGGAAACCTAACCAAGATTTTAATGCAACTGATTTTTAATCACTGGAGCAAGGCATTAATTTTCATTATTTGGTATGATGCCTTAAACACTCTGCAAGAAGCAGTCTTTACAGTAAGGAATAATTTTTTTCTTTAGTGAATAGGACTTCCTTCAGTCAGATTTAAGTGTGTGAGACACATCTATGTTAGAGAAGACACATCTATGACAAGAATCTTTAACAACCTATTTATTAAATCCCACTACTTTAATCTGGACTTGTTCTACAACTGTCTGTATACCTGGGTCTCCCTTCATTATCATGCTGGCTAATCCCTTGTTTTTTGTTGTTGTTGTTTTCATTTTGATTCTTTTGTTTAAAGGATTCTACTTTTTTCCTGTTCCTGGTTTATTGTCTTATTTTGGTTGCTATGTCTCTACCAGTTTATTGGTGAAAAAGTTTTATATAAGGCAATGTTTTTGTTGTTGTTAACAATTTGTACAACTTATGTACTAATTCTACCCTCACATCTGCTTGAGAGCTGGATTGGGTATAGAGGTCTAGGTTAGAATCATTTTTCCTCAGCACTATGAGGAAATATTTCATTGTCTTTTATTTGTCAATGTTTCTGTTGTGAAGTTCAGTGCTATTGTTATCATTACTCCTCTGACTGCAACTTTGTATTTTCTTTCAATCTTAAAGTGGCCTTTGTTTTCACAGGTATAAAATTCCTTAATGATGTGACTTGAGCATATTTTCCCACAGGTCGTGTTGGGTATTAAGTGGACTCAGTTTTTAGTCCATGTCTTTTAATATTTAAGAGTTTTTAAAATTATTTTAATAATGATATAGTAATTTAATTTCCTTCTCTTTTTATAGAAGTTCTCTTCGATTGCATGTTGGATCATCAGGAAAATATATATATATATTTTTTTCTTTTATCTCCTATCTTCCAATTCTTGGCTTTTAATTCAAGATTTAGTTAAATTTACTTATATTTATTTTCCACTTTTTTGTCATTTCTGTTACATAGTTTTATTTTTCAAGAGCATTCATTTGTTAGTTCAATCTTTCTTTTAATAAAGTTATATTATTTCTTCATGGATATATTGCCTTCTCCTTGAAAAAATATTATCCCTTAGAAAATATCACCATATTTTACTATCTGATTCTAATGAATCTTTTTTTTGTTTTTATGTTTAAAATATACATAATTTTTAAAAGTTAGAATAGAGGGATAGTAAAAAAGGATTAATAAAAATAAAAAATTTTTAAGGAAATTGTAAGAATAATTTCAACATTGCAAATTGTTTTATCTCAGCAAATTTTGGTACACAGACTTTGTAAAAGATGAAAGAATACTGTCTCACAATCTTTCAGGAAACTGGCTTAGACTAAAGTTGTGGCCCAAATATTGTATCTTGAATTTCTCTCCACTGAATTACTAAAACTGTATCAAAATACCATTTTTCGTTGTTTGGAAAATATTGCTTACTCATTACTTTGTAAAGTTGAGAAAATGTATGTGGGAGATCATCATCTAAATACTCATATTCTGATATTTCATTTATGATCAATTTTACTATCATAATTAGTGTTTAGAGTATAATCTGTCTCATTTAATTCATTTTCTGATTTACCTAGTAACTGCAAAATATAATTCTCTGTCAGTGTTATTCTCTTTTCTGTTGCATATAGGCCAAACATGAAAAATCATATTTCTCATGCTGAAAAAAAAATCTTCAGGTAGACTGCAGATATTGATTACCTACTTTTATACTCTGTAAAAGTTTATTCAATACCTTGCACAATGCCATTAGAAAACTCAAGAAGCATGATCCATTTCACTATTGCATCATTTTTTATAAGATTTCATTGTTCTTCCCTTTTCTTATAATTTCGGTATTTATTTAGGAATAATTGATGACTAATAAAATAATTTCTAGATTAATACAATAGCAAAATATATTGTTATTGGGAAAAATCAGTAAGGTTCTATAATGTATCTTAGAATTCTAAAAGTGTCCAATGAACCCGTACAGAAATTGCAAGAGATAATAAGTTTTATTTTATTTTTAAAAAATAGATTTATTGTCTCTCTTTCCTATGGGAATCCTATAAGGAAGAATACAATTGTAAAATGTTAATTGCTCTAAACAATTAGAAATACTCAAAATAATTTTTTCAAATAGTTATAGATGCTTGAACGTAACAGGTGCAATTGTTACAAATTGTACAATAAAGGTTAAATATCGATATTTGATATTTTCTTTGTTATTAATATTAACTGTATCCTCCACGGTATATTTTACTGTTAGTCACATTTTGCCTCTATTTTTCAGGTTAGAGTGTTTCCACAGATAATCTTTGGTTCCCTGATTATATTTAAGAGTGACAGAATAGAAAGTTAATTGGAAGCTCCATTAGGAGGTTTGTCTTACAAAGTGTTGTGTGCATTCTAGATTATCTACGTGGGTTATTTCTTTGGGGAATATGTGATAATAATATCTCTTTTTCAATCTTATCAAGATGGTTGGATATTCTAAAAAGATACATTTTCTGTCTCACCTGGATGCCAATGGTCTTGTAAGTCAGAATACTGGTAGCTGAATAGCAGAAAAGGGCTGCAGTGCCCAGCATTCAGTGTGAATATGTTCACTTAGAATGGCTGTTTTCAGTCAAATATAACAGTCTCTAGGCCATTAACTCTCTATCTTAGGCTCCGAAAAGAAACTTTACCTTTATAATTTTGTGCTGTGATGGGAGAGAGGTTTATGCTTTATGTCTGCATAATATTAGAAAGAGCACCTAAAAAATCAAAATGCTTTAAACATTTTATTTAATTGTTCTTATTCTAGTGGTAGTCTATTGAACTTTTATTTTCAGATATGATTTGGCTCAAAATTATTGCGAGTTGAAAGATTCTAAGGTTTAAATCACATGGAATTTAAAAACCTCTTTACTGTATGTTTAGAATTCATCATTTTCTGGTCAGCCAACTCAGTTACCAGTCATTAATTTACTCCATTTCTTCTAAAATTCCATGGCTGTTTTTTTTTTTTTTTTGCTTCATTTGACTCATTTATAGATTTGTGTTCTAAAAACCTACTCAATGTTCATTAATGTTTCAAATTAAGCAAAAGTAGATATATTCAATGTGTAATTTTTACCCATATTTCCCCATTTGACTCTTGACATCCTCTAATTCATAATCTTTCTTAGAATATTTTGGGATACATGTATTATAGGGTTTTGTGATTGCCTATAAGCTATCATTAAGTGAAAAGCATGTGGAATGTGACCTTTTCCAATAATTTAATTTTTATGAACTTATAATGAATAAAATACCACAAATATGTTAAATTAATTATTATTATGTTGAAGTGACACTAAGAGGCAGAATCAGAACTGAAATTCATTTACACTGAATTTATGCTCCTCAAGGCCTAGGAAATCTGATCAATCATTAAGAAATATATGAGAATTGACTTGTGTTTACTTGTTTATTTCAAATTCTAATAACCATTATTTTATGTAAAGTAAATATATAAAATTGTTTCAAGTCAATATAACATCATAGGATTCTTGGGTTTATCTGTACACATAGTTCCATAAAGGCAAAATTCTCTGAATTTTCCATTAGCTTCTTATTTAA
Source organism: Homo sapiens (assembly GCF_000001405.40). Classification (NCBI taxonomy): domain Eukaryota; kingdom Metazoa; phylum Chordata; class Mammalia; order Primates; family Hominidae; genus Homo; species Homo sapiens. The sequence goes on from NC_000004.12 coordinate 132,444,731, forward strand.
ATAAAAGTTATTTCACTGCTTAATTCAAGATTTTCTAGAAAAGGAGCTAAAAAATAGAAGTGTCTCAACCCAATCAACACACTTTGCCTCTAGAAAATAATGTCTGCTTTAGTTTGCATAAGTATTTTACTTCAATTCCTGTTCAAACACTAGAATGGATGGATTTGTGTTTAAAGACAACAAAATTAATCTCCAAGTATTTAAAGTTTGAGGGTTTTTTTTTTCTTTTAAAGCTAAGTGGGTTTTAGTATCGTAAGGGAATTAAATAGCTTTTGAGAGTGATTTTTATATCAACATGCTCCAAAGCTTTTGTAGGTTTCAGGCAACCATTTTAAAGATATTTTGTTCAAATAATGGATTTGTTTTATTCTCAGATAAGTCACCCAGTAATCCCTTGCTTTGCAGCTTATAGCGGCTGTAGCCAAGGTTAATTAATTAGAAATATTAAAGCTTGGATTAACACTTGGACCTGATTCACAAATAATTTGCTTGAAAGTATCTAAGTTGCCCAGTAAATTTATTTTTTGAAACTTAGTGCCATACAACAGAAAAGTAGTTTTCAAAAAACTTTTTTAGACAGATATACTAGGTAAGCTATGAGAAATAAGAGGTTTCTATCTGGTTTCTTACCAGCCAAACTCACTTAATCTATACTAATTTATACATCTGTTCAGCAGGTGTCTGTAAAGATAAAAACATAGTGTAATGCCCCTTCCCCAATCCCCAAAACTGGGATGGTGCTGACATACCAAAGAATGATTTGGACAAGTCCAGCTTGTTGAGCAGATGAGTTTATTAAAACTCACATATACAGCATTTCCGGGTGGGAGCAGGACAGCTATAGAGATCTGGGCCCCTCCCATTCCTAAGCTGCCCTTAAGCTGATTTTCTGGCTCTTCGTCTACTGTATGTGTGTGTGATGGGACTGCTTTCTTTGGTAGGTTCTCTGATACTCTTCTGTAGGTAGGTTTGGGTTTTCAGATACATCTGTTTCTTGGTTAGGCATCATGCCCTTGGCTTACCGCCTAGCCTTCAGAGTTCAGGCAGCTCTTTAGTAACGTGGTGGGGGACCCTCACACTACAGTGTCATGATGGCATTTTGTAAAACATGGCTATTTTTTAGAAAACAAACAAAATATGCTTAAATATCTGTAAGGCAAGTGTGCACTTTCAAATAGTTAATACATTTCATGTTGAAGAGTAACATAATTCCTATAGTATTTTGAAAGATTTGTTATATAACCTTGGACACAGAAAAGACATGCTAGAAATCTAAAGGAGCAATGAACTGGAGCTGGCATGATGACAGCTTCTGCAGATAACTCTTTTACAAATTAGAAATTCTGAATTTGTTAAAAGTGAGCCTTAAAAGATGTTTACACATAGGAATATATAAAGCCCCATTGCCAATGTATGTGCCCCCACCAAAAAAAAAAAAAATCAAAACAGAAACATGCTTTCAGAATGTTTGCAAATGAGAAATAGAAAGCTTTTTCAAAAAAGTTTTGAGGAGGGGGTGGAGCAAGATGGCAGAATACAAAGCTATATCAATTGTCACCCCCGCAAGGATGCCAAGTTAACAACTATCTACACAAAATAAACTTTCATAAGACCCAAAAATCAGGTGAGCACTTACAGTACCTGGTTTTACCTTCATATTGCTGAAAGAGGCACTGGAGTGATTTAAAAAACAGTCCTGAATTGCAGGTGCCACTCCTCCCCCAATCCCTGTAGAGGGAGCATGGTACAGAGAGATCGCTGGGCACTGGGGGAAGGAGAACAAAGCAATTGTGAAGCAATGACCTCAGGGCTGTCCTGTTAGAGCAGAAAGGAAAACCAGGCCAAACTCAGCTGATGCCCACCCATGGAGGGAGCATTTAAACCAGCTCTAGACAGAGGGGGAACTGCCTATCCCAGCAGTTCAAATTTGAGTGCTTGCAAACCTCACCACAGAGGGCTACAGCACTCTGTGTCTTCAGGTGAACTTGAAAGGCAATCTAGGCCATAAGGACTGCAACTCCTAGGCGAGTTCTAATGCAGAATTAAACCCAGAGACAGTGTAGCACATGGGGGCACATGACCTACTGAGACACCAGCTAGGACAGCCAAAGGAGTGCTGGCATCACCCCTCTCCTAGCCCCAGGCTCCATAGCTCATGGCTCCAAAAGATACCCCTTCCTTCCAATTGGGGAGTTGAGAAGGAAGAGTGGGGAGGACTGTGTCTCACATCTAGGATACCCACTCAGCCACAGCAGGATATGGCACCAGTCAAAGCCAGAGTCCCCTCATTCCAGGTCCTACCTGCCAGATGACATTTTTAGACACATCTTGGGCCAGAAGAGAACCCACCACCTGGAAGAAAAGTCCTTCAGCATTCATCCCGACGGCATTCATTACAGGCTACCTGAAGAGACTTTGGGTCCTGGAAAACCAGAAGTGATACCCAGGTACTACATTGAAGGCCTTGGGTAAGGCTTGAGACTTGCTGGTTTCAGGTGAGACTCAGCACATAACCAGCTGTGGTGGCTATGGGGCAACACTCCTTCTGCTTGAGAAAAAAGAAGGGAAAAAGTAAAGGGGACTTTGTCTTGCACCTCAGGCACCAGCACAGCCACAGTGGGGTAGAGTACAAAGTGGGCTCTAGGGGTCCCCGATTCCAGGACTTCACTCATGGATGGCTTTTCTGGACCTGTCCTGGGCCATAGATGAGCCCACTGACCTGAAGGGTGAGTCCTAGGTCAGGCAGCATTTACAAGCTGCCTTAAGAGACCATGGGACTTAAGGGAGTATTGGAGGTAGTCTGGCAGTATTTCCTATAGCCTAGAGTGGCAGTGGCTATGGCGGGAGGCTCCTCTCCCTTTGGAAAGGGAAGAGAAGAGTGGGAAGGAATGTTTAATGTGGTTTGAGTGCTAGCGCAGTCACAATACAATAGAACACCAGGTAGACATCTAAGGATTTTGACTCTGGTCCCTGACTCTTGGCTGGCACTCCTGGACCAACCTCGGGCTTGGGCAACCTCATTGCCCTAAAGGGAAGGACACAGGCCAGGCTGGCTTTGCCACGTAGTGATTGTAGAGCAGCAGGGCCTTGAGAAAACATAGGGAGTAACCAGGGAGTGATTACAGCAGGCCTTGGGCAGGAATCAGCACTGTGTAGGCTTCAGGTCTCATCCAGTGCATTTATAGAGGTGGTGGTCACAGGGTTGCTTGTGTTACTCCAACTTCAGCTTTAGGTGGCTCAGAAGAGACAGAGAGATTCTGAATATTTGGGAGAAAGTAAGGGAAGAGAACAAGATTATCTGCCTGGTAATCCAGAAAATTCTCCTGAATCTTGTCCAAGACCATCAAGGTAGTACCTCTATGAATCTGCAAGAACCATAGTGTTACTGAGCTTGAGGTGCCCTCTAAAGCAGATACAGCTTACATCACAACACCCAAGTTCTTTCAAATATCTCGAAATATTTTCGAAGAATGACAGCTACAAATAAAACCAGATAGTAAAGACTACAATAAATACCTAACCCTTCAATGCCCAGACACTGAACAGCTACTAGCATGAACAGCATCCAGGAAAACATGATGTCACCAAATGAACTAAATAAGGCACCAGGGACCAATCCTGGAAAAACAGATATGAACAGAAAGTCAAGATAATAAATACAAAGGCAATCAGAATCTTATTAGATACATTTAACAAAGAAATTGAAATAATTAAAAAGAATCAAGCAGAAATTCCAGAGCTAAAACTGCAAATTGCATACTGAAGAATGCATCAGAGAGTTCTTTAATAGCAGAATTGATAAGGCAGAAGAAAAAATTAGTGAACTGGAAGACAGGCTATTTGAAAATACAGTCAGAGAAGACAAAAGAAAAAAGAATAGAAATCAATAAAGCACACCTACAAGATCTAGAAAATATCCTCAAAAGGACAAATCTAAAAGTTATTAGCTTTATAGAGGAGGTAGACAAAGAGATAGGGATAAAAGGTTTGCTCTAAGGGATAATAACAGAGAACTTCTCAAACTTGGGGAAAGATAGTATCTGAGTACAAGAAGGTTATAGAACACCAAGCAGATTTAACCCAAAGAAAAGTACCTCAAGGCATTTAATAACCAAATCTCCAAAGATCAAGTTTAAAGAAAACAGCAAGAGGAAAGAAACAAATAACATACAATGGAGCACCAATACATCTGGCAGCAGACTTTTCAGAGGAAACCATACAGAACAGGAGAGAGTGACAAGACATATTTACAATGCTGAAGGTAAAAACAAAACAAAACAAAGAAACAAAAAATGTTTCTCCTAGAATACTATATCTGGTGAAAATAACTTTCAAACTTTAAGGATAAATAAAGGCTTTGCCAGACAAACTAAATGCTGAGGGATTTTATCAATGCCAGACCCATCCTATAAGAAATACTAAAGAGAGTACTTCGATCAGAAAGAAATGGACATTAATGAGCAACCAATAATCACCTGAAGATACAAAACTCACTGGTGAGTACACAGAAAAATATGGAATATTATAACACTGTAACTCTGGTGTGTAAACTACTCTTATCCTAAGTAGAAAGAGTAAATGATGAACCAATGAAAAATAATAACACCAGCTATTCAAGATATGGTCAGTACAATAAGATATAGATAGAAACAACAAAAAGTTAAAATGTAAGAAACGAACTGAAGATGTAGAGTTTTTATTTATTTTCTTTTGCTTGTTTGTTTATGCAAATAGTGTCAAGTTGTTATGAGGTTAAAATAATTGGTTAAGTTGTTATCAGCTTAAAATCATGGGTTATAAGATAATATTTGCAAGCCTCATGGTACCCTCAAATCAAAAAACACACAATGGCTACACAAAAAAATAAAAAGCAAGAAACTCAATCCTATCACCAAGAAAATCATCTTTACTGCAGGAAGACAGAAGGAAGGAAAGAAGAAAGAGGAGACAACAAAGCAACCTGAAAACAAATAACAAAATAATAGGAGTAAGTCATTACTTATCACTAATAACACTGAATGTAAATGGACTAAATTCTCCAATTAAAAGACATAAACTGGCTGAATGAATAAAATAAGCCCCATTGAACTGTTGTCTACAAGGAAATCACTTCACTTATGAAGATACACATAGACTGAAAACAAAGGTATGGAAAAAGATATTCCATGCCAATGGAAATAAAGTAAGATCAGGAGTCACTATAATTACATCAGACAAAATAGATTTTAGGACAAAAACTATAAGAAGTAATTAAGAAGGTCACTATATAATACAAAAGAGTCAATTCAACAAGAGGATATAACAATTTTAAATATATATGCTCCCAACACTGGAGCACCCAGATATATAAAGGAAATATTATTAGAACTAAAGAGAGAGCTAGGCCTTAATACAATAATGGCTGGAGACTTCAACACTCTACTTTCGGCATGGGATAGATCTTCCAGACAGAAAATTAACAAAGAAACATTAATCTGCACTATAGACCAAATGGATCTAACAGATATTTACAGAACATTTCATCCAAGAGCTACAGAATACACATTTTTTTTTCTCAGCACACGGATTATTCTTAAAAATAGACTAAATGCTAGGTCACAAAACAAATCAAATCTTCAAACATTCAAATATTTAAAATAATATTAAACACTTTATTTAACCACAGGGAATAAAACCAGAAATGAATAACAAGAGAAATTCTGGAAACTATACAAATACATAAAAATTACGCAGTTTGCTCCTGAATTACCAGTGGGTCAATGAAGAAATTAAGAGGGGAACTGAAAGACTTCTTGAAACAAATGATAATGAAAATCTATGGCATACAGCAAAAAGCAGTGCTGAGAGAAAAGTTTACAGCTGCAAGTGCTAACATTCAAAAGAGAAAAAAACTATAAATAAATAAATAACCTAATGATTCATCTTAAGGAATTAGAAAAACAAGAGCAAAGCAAACCCAAAATTGGTAGAAGAGAAGAAATAATAATTATCAGAGCAGAAATAAAATTGAAATTAAAAAATACAAAAAAATCAATAAAATAAAAAGTTGTTTTTTTGAAAAGTGAAACAAAATTGACAAATCTTTATCCAGGATAAGAAAAAAAGAGAGAACATCCAAATAAATAAAATTAGAATGAAAAAGGAGACAGTACAACTGATACTGCAGAAATTCAAAGAATCATTAGTGGCTACTATGAGCAATGATATGCCAATAAATTGGAACATCTAGAAAAAATGAACAAATTTCTAGACATACACAGCCTATCACAATTTAATCAGGAATAAATCCAAAGCCTGAATAGACCAATAACAAGTAACAAGATTAAAGCTGTAATAAAAAGTCTCCCAGTAAAGAAAACCATAGGACCTGATGGTTTTACTGCTGAATACTACCAAACATTCAAAGAAAATCTAATACCAATTCTACTCAAATGCCTCCGAAAAATAGAGGAGGAGGGAATATTTCCTAATTCATTCTATGAGACCAGTATTACTCTACTACAATTACCAAAGACATTTTAAAAAAAAAGGAAAGAAAACTGTAGTCCAACATCTCTGATGAATGTTGATGCAAAATTCCTCAACAAAATGCTAAATGCTAGCAAACTGAATTCAATAGTACATTAAAAGGATCATTCATCATAACCAAATGGGATTTATCCCTGGGATGCAAGGATGGTTCCACATATGCAAATCAATTAACATGATATATCATATCAACAGAATAAAAGATAAAATCCATATGATCATTTCAATGGATGCTTAAAAAGCATTTGATAAAATTCAACATTCCTTCATGATCAAAACCCTCAAAAAACTAGGGATAGGTGAAACATATCTCAATATAATAAAAACTGTATATTACAGATCCACAGCTAGTATACCGAATGTGGAAAAACTGAAAGCCTTTTCTTTAACATCTGAAACACGACAAAGATACCCACTATCACCACAGTTATTCAACATAGTACTGGATATCCTGGCTAGAGCAATCAGACAAGAGAAAGACAAAGGACATCCAAATTGGAAAAGAAGAAGTCAAATTATTCTTGTGTACTAATTGTATGATCTCATATTTGAAAAATCTTAAAGACTCCACAAGAAAACTATTAGAAGTGATAAACAAATTCAGTAAAGTTGCAGAATACAAAATAAACACACAAAAATCAGTGGCATTTCTATATGCCAACAGTGAACAATGTGAAAAAGAAATAAAAAAGTAATCTCAGTTAAAACAGCCACACATAAAATTAAATTCCTAGGAATTAACAAAAGAAGTGAAAGATCTCTATAATGAAAACTATAAAACACTGCTGAAGAAAACTGAAGAGGACACCAAAAACTGGAAAAATCTTTCATGTTCATTGATTGGAGGAAAAATATTGTTAAAATATCCATACTATCCAAAGGAACCTACAGATTCAGTACGGTCCCTATCAAAATACCAATGACATTCTTCACAGAAGTAGAAAAAAAAATCTAATGGAATCAAAGAAGACCTAGAATAGCCAAAGTTATCCTAAATGAAAAGCATAAAACTGAAGGAATCACATTACCTGACTTCAAATTATACTACAGAGCTATGGTAACCAAAATAGCACAGTACTAACATAAAAACAGACACATAGACCAATGTAACAGAATAGAGAACCCAGAAACAAATCCACACACCTACAGTAAACTCATTTTTGACAAAGTTGCCAAGAACATACACTGGAGAAGAGATAGTCTCTTCAATAAATGGTGCTGGGCATACTGAATACCCCGATGCAGAAGAATGAAACTAGACCTCTATCTCTCATTATATACAAAAATAAAATCAAAATGGATTAAAGGCTTACAACTAAAACATTAACTATGAAAATACTACAAGAAAACATTGGTGAAAATCTCTAGAACATTGGTCAGGGCAAAGATTTCTTGAGTAATACCCCACAAGCACAGGCAAGCAAAGCAAACATGGACAAACGGGATCACATGAAGTGAGAAAGCTGCACAGAAAAGAATACAATCAAAAAAGTGAAGAGACAATCCACAGAAGGGTAGAAAAAATTTGCAAACTACACTTCTGGCAAGGGATAAATAAACAGAATAGATAAAGCTCAAATAACACTACAGGAAAAAAAAAACCTAATAATCCAATCAAAAAATGGGCAAAATATTTGAAAAGACATTTTTGAAAAGAAGACATAAAAATGGCAAGTAGGCACATGAAAAGATGCTCAACATCATTGATCATCAGAAAAATGCAAATAAAAACTACAATGAGATATTATCTCACCCTAGTTAAAATGGCTTAAATTCAAAACATAGGCAATAATAAATGCTGTCAAGGATTTGGAGAAAATGGGACTTTTGTACACTGTTGGAGGGAATGTAAATTAGTACAACCACTATGTAGAACGGTTTCAAAGTTCCTAAAAAAAAATGAGCTACCATATAACCCAGTAATCCCATTGCTGGGTATATACCCAAAAGAAAGGAAATCAGTAAATCAAAGTGAAATCTGCACTCCTATGTTTGTTGCAGAACTGTTTACAATAGCAAAGATTTGTCAGCTACCTAAGTCTCCATTAACAGATGAATGGGTTAAGAAAATGTGATACGTATACACAATGAAGTACTTTTCAGCCATAAAAAAAAATGAGATCCAATCATTTGCCACAAAATAAATGGAACTGGAGATAATTATGTTAAGTGAAATAAGCCAGGCACAGAAAGACAAAGATCACATGTTCTCACTTATTTGTGAGAATAAATATCAAAATAATTGAACTCATGAACATAGATGAAAGTATTGTTACCAAAGGCTGGAAGTGTAGCTGGGAAGGATTGATGGGGAGGTGGGATTGGTTATTGGGTACCAAAAAAGAGAAAGAATAAATATGACCTGCTGTTTGATACAATAATAGGGTGACTATTGTCTACAAATATAAAATTAATTGTATATTTAAAAATAAAGAATATAATTGGATTGTTTGTAACTCAAAGGATAAATGCTCGAAGGGATGGATACACCATTCTCCATGATGTGCTTATTTCACATTGCATGCCTGTATCAAAACATCTCATGTACTTCATAAATATATATACCTACTATGTACCCATAGAAACTTAAAAAATAAAAAATAAATAGAAAATAATGATAGTTTATAGAAAAAAGTTTGCAAATAAAGCTTTTATTTTTGCATGGTAAACAAAAAAATCAAGTTTCAACATATGATCATTGTTGGTTTGGTTGAAAAAACAAAATCAATATTGTATTAAGGGTTCAGCAAGCACTTTCTGCAAGGAACCAGATAGTAAATATTTTAGCCTTTCGGGATCATATGATTTCAGTCACAATTACTCTATTCTACCACTGTAGTGTAAGAGCAGCCATCAAAAAAATGTGTGAACAAATGAGTTTGGCTACATCCCAATAAAACTGTATTTATGGGCACTGAAATTTGAATTTTGTATAATTTTCACATATGAAGCTAATGATTCTTCTTTTGGTTTGTTTTCAACCATTTAAAAATGTTAAAAAACATTCTGAGCTCATGTGTGATATTAAAACAGATTGCTGGCTAAATGTGATCCAGGGTCTCTAATCTGCCCACCGCTACTCTGACAAAATAGTCTGCTAGGTAAGAACTGGGCTTGTAAACATTGCACAAAACTTAGATCATTGCAGTTGTCCAATAAGTATTTGCCAGATAAATTCATGATTTCAAATACCTTGTTTCTGGGAGTTTATTTCTTCGATATGATTTTGTTTACCGATAAAATATTAGGAGTAAATATTTAATATTTTATGACATTTATACTGAAAAGTTAAAATTTTACATCTCTTACAATTTCAGAATTGAAGTCTTTTAAGTTTAGAATACATTTGCACTTACTTTTCCAGTGACAGAAAGCTACCTTGTTGCTTATTAATTAATCTGCAAAGAAAAATTTAAAATTTCCTTTCTCTTCCTTTTTATTGATATTGATGTCTGTAAACTTATTTTGATAACATTGAAAAGCCATCAAGGTAACAATATTTTGAGCAAACAAAATTTTAGAAAGAAAGGAAATACAGTAAAGTGAATCTGACATTCATTACTCTGTTTTTTCTTTAAATTATGTGCTAATTCAAAAAAACAACAACAAAAAATAGCATCTGGGAAGCTACAAACCTTAGTAGAAACTGCTTCTGAGAAACTGAGGAGCTAAGTAGAACTTGTATTTTAGGCTTGAGTGTGTAAATATTAAAGTTCATAACTCACTAAGAAGTGGGAACACTACTACACCCTAGATTTTCACTTGGGAAATGAGGAAAGTCTCTACTGTGGATATAAGGGTCAACCAGAAAAATAATAGTCATCATTAAAATTGAAACCTGATCTTGAATATATTAATATTGTAATGTAATCTGATCTCTCATTCCTTTAGCCCCATCCCAAAAACAAACCTAAATTCTATGTGAAAAAAACAACATGATTCACAGCCTCAAATATTTTCTATTTTTTCTATATATTATAGTTTATAACTGAATATAAAACTAAATAAAATAATTATTTATACCAGGAGATAAGCTGGCATGACTGGGAGCCAAGAATAAAAGAATGGTTAATAGCAATATATGATAGACTCAAATACTGGAATTTTCAGAATAGAGATTTTAAAATCAGTATGATAATTAAGATATTGAAATGAGATAAGATAGAGATTTTCAGTATGTAATTGGAAAATATTTTAAAAACAAATACAGTGATAAAAATTATGAAATCAAACATTTTCTTAATGATAGATCAACACAACCAAAGAGGTGTAAAATATTTTACATGTAGGAATCGAGATTAAAATGGATTAAAATATACTAAAAAGTATTGTACACATATGAATATGAGACAAGTTTTAACATATGGCTTATCAGGGTCCTATAAGAAGTTAAGAAAGAAAATGGGAAAAAGGTCATATAAAATATGTAGTGTTAATGTATGTTAGTTTTTCAAAATTAATAAATTACATCAGTACACATTATCAAGTACTGTGAATGTGACATTGCAATGAAACATCCCAGTACAATAGTAAAAACACAGAACACTAAAAAAAAAGAAGAAAATCGTTAAATTTTCCAGAGGAAAAAGCATCCCTCACCTTCAAAGAGAAAAAAACAGAATTTACAGATTATTAACAAAAATCATGGGATCTAAAAACCAGATAGAATGTCTTCAAAATGCACAAAGAAAACAACTGACAGACTAGATTTTGATAACCAGTGAAACTATCCCTCAAGATTAAAAAAAAAATTAAGATATTCTTTCATAAACAGTAATTGCAAGATTAGATCAACAGAAGTTCTGTACCAAAGCAAAATTTATACCAACGAAAAATTAGGTGCAGATGGAAACAAGACATTGAGGAAGTGATGAAGAACGAAGGTAATCACCTTGAGGGCAAATATAAATTAATATATCAATATCCCCTTGTAAGTCTCCAAATATTTTGGAAATAAATTATATGTGGGGATAATTAAAACACACGACAATCATATCACAAAATATTTGATTGTCTAAAAGCAGATAACATAACAATAATTAATGACAATAAATCAATGATGTGTAATCTAATATAAGACAGAAAAGTGAAAGTGAGTGAAAGGGTGTATTAGTTTTCTATGGCTGTTGCAAGAAATTACAACAAACTTGGTAACTAAAATCAACAGATGTTTATCCTCATACAATTCTGGAGGACAGAAACCCAAAATAAAAAATGTATATTACTGGGCTGAAATAAAGGTGTCAGCAGGGATACACTCACTTTAAAAAAATTAGGGAGAAATCCATTTATTGCTCTTTCCAGCTTCTGGTGGCAGCCAACATTCCTTGTTTTTTGGCCCTAACACTGTGCCTCTCTGATCACATAAGAAATGAATGTGAAGACTGAGCGAATGTGAAATCTTATAAAACATTATTTTAAGTTGATGTTAACATGGAACACTCAATGCATTAAATACTATATCTGAGATATATCTGAGATATTTATTAAGAAATTGTACAATATTCTATTCTCCAAACATCTCTTCCACATCAACAAATCAGGAGGAATTATCGTGATAGTATAAAAAGCAATTAAATATGAAACAATTTTCATAAAATCTGTGCATTCAAAGGTACATCAGAGTAACCTCAAGACTTTTTTTTACTTAGAATTTTTAATAAAATTTAGATAACATGTAAAGGAGCACATAGAAGAGCGATGTAAATACTAGTAATTCCTGAAAGTATTAGTAAATTGATAGCTGACATTCAGGTGGATGATACTGAGGTGGAAAAAGAAGAAATTGGGGAAGAGAAATCTGTTTGTATATAGACAGTACAGAGAGAACACCACACATTTTAACAGTTTCTGACACTATCACAGTATTATAATGATGATTATTGCTTGCAAGAGTGTAGAGTGTATGAGCCCAGAGTATAAACCCACATTTGCTTCTAAGGTACATTTTCTTTTTACCTCCAAAATGGTACTACTACCTCCATTTCCTTATCTGTAAAACGAGGATGATATTAGTGCCTACCTCAAAGGGTTGTCATAAATATTATATAAAATATTAAATATGAGTGCACATAAAGTGATTTCTATCAGAACATATATATATGATAAATATTATGAGGGAGATCTTGGAAATGTCACAAATACTGATGCTACAAAACAGACTCAGTATAATACACTTCTCTTTCAAGAAAGTGATTACTATAGTAGGAAATACATTTGTAATGTATAATATATATTTAGTAATTTTTGATCTTTTAAGAGATATATTTCAATTATTTGGAGTTACCGCTTGCACAAAAACATCTCAATAAACTTCAATAAACCATGTATGATTAAATATATATTTGTACAACAGTGACTGAAAAGATTTTAGTCATAAGCTGCCCTCCTATTTATAAGGGATAAAAGAAATATCACACATTAATGTTAAAGTAGTTATATTGGTATGTAAAAATGTAAATTTTAAAATTAAAATTAAACAATATATTTTTATTTTAATGAGGAATTATGAATTTTTGATTAACAAATATTTCTGAAGTGGGCGTGGTTCCAAGATGGCCAAATAGGAACAGTTCCAGTCTACAGCTCCCAGTGTGAGCGACCCAGAAGACGGGTGATATCTGCATTTCCCACTAAGGTACCAGGTTCATCTCACTGGGGCTTGTCAGACAGTGGGGGAATGACAGTGGGTGCAGCCCACCGAGCATGAGCCAAAGCAGGGCAAGGCATCATCTCACCCAGGAAGCACAAGGGGTCAGGGAATTCCCTTTCCTTGCCAAGGGAAGCAGTGACGCATGGCACGTGGAAAATCGGGTCACTCACACCCTAATACTGCGCTTTTCCAATGGTCTTAGCAAATGACACATCAGGAGTTTATATCCCACGCCGGGCTTGGAGGGTCCCACGCCCACGGAGCCTCACTCATTGCTAGTACAGCAGTCTGAGATCAAACTGCAAGGTGGCAGCAAGACTGGGGGAGGGGTGCCCACCATTGCTGAGGCTTGAGTAGGTAGACAAAGCAGCTGGGAAGCTCGAACTGGGTGGAGCCCAGCACAGCTCAAGGAGGCCTGCCTGCCTCTGTAGGGTAGGGTATAGCCAAATAAAAGGCAGCAGAAACCTCTACAACTTAAATGTCCCTGTCTGACAGCTTTGAAGAGAGTAGTGGTTCTCCTAGCACGGAGTTGGAGATCTGAGAATGGACAGACTGCTTCCTCAAGTGGGTCCCTGACCCCCAAGTAGCCTAACTGGGAGGCACCCCCCAGTAGGGGCAGACTGACAGCTCACACGGCCAGGTACCCTTCTGAGATGAAGCTTCCAGAGGAACGATCAGGCAGCAACATTTGCTGTTCAGCAATATTCACTGTTCTGTAGCCTCTGCTGCTGATACCCAGGCAAACAGGGTCCGGAGTGGACCTCTAGCAAACTCCAACAGACCTGCAGCTGAGGGTCCTGACTGTTAGAAGGAAAACTAACAAACAGAAAGGACATACACACCAAAACCCCATCTGTACGTCACCATCATCAAAGACCAAAAGTAGATAAAACCACAAAGATGGGGAAAAAACAGAGCAGAAAAGCTGAAAATTCTAAAAATCAGAGCAACTCTCCCCCTCCAAAGGATCACAGCTCCTTGCCAGCAACAGAAAAAAGCTGGATGGAGAATGACTTTGACGAGTTGAGAGAAGAAGGCTTCAGACGATCAAACTTCTCCGAGCTAAAGGAGGAAGTTCGAACCCACTGCAAAGAAGCTAAAAACCTTGAAAAAAGATTAGACGAATGGATAACTAGAATAACCAGTGTAGAGAAGTCCTTAAATGACCTGATGGAGCTGAAAACCATGGCACAAGAACTATATGACAAATGCACAAGCTTCAGTAGCCGATTCAATCAACTGGAAGAAAGGGTATCAGTGACTGAAGATCAAATGAATGAAATGAAGCGAGAAGAGAAGTTTAGAGAAAAAAGAGTAAAAAGAAATGAATAAAGCTCCAAGAAATATGGGACTATGTGAAAAGACCAAATCTACGTCTGATTGGTGTACCTGAAAGTGACGGGGAGAGTGTTTTCCAAGTTGGAAGGCACTCTGCAGGATATTATCCAGGAGAACTTCCCCAAACTAGCAAGGCAGGCCAACATTCAAATTCAGGAAATACAGAGAATGCCACAAAGATACTCCTCCAGAAGAGCAACTCCAAGACGCATAATTGTCAGATTCATCAAAGTTGAAATGAAGGAAAAAATGTTAAGGACAGCCAGAGAGAAAGGTCGGGTTACCCACAAAGGGAAGCCCGTCAGACTAACAGTGGATCTCTTGGCAGAAACTCTACAAGCCAGAAGAGAATGAGGGCCAATATTCAACATTCTTAAAGAAAAGAATTTTCAACCCAGAATTTCATATCCAGCCAAACTAAGCTTCATAAGTTAAGGAGAAATAAAATCCTTTACAGACAAGCAAATGCTGAGAGATTTTGTCACCACCAGGCCTGCCCTACAAGAGCTCCTGAAGGAAGCACTCAACATGGAAAGGAACAACCGGTACCAGCCACTGCAAAAACATGCCAAATTGTAAAGACCATCGATGCTAGGAAGAAACTGCATCAACTAACAAGCAAAATAACCAGCTATCATCATAATGACAGGATCAAATTCACACATAACAATATTAACTTTAAATGTAAATGGGCTAAATGCTCCAATTAAAAGACACAGACTGGCAAATTGGATAAAGAGTCAAGACCCATTAGTGTGCTATATTCAGGAGACCCATCTCACATGCAGAGACACACATAGGCTCAAAATAAAGGGATGGAGGAAGATCTACCAAGCCAATGGAGAACAAAAAAAGGCAGGGGTTGCAATCCTAGTCTCTGATAAAACAGACTTCAAACCAACAAAGATCAAAAGAGACAAAGAAGGCCATTACATAATGGTAAAGGTTTCCATTCAACAAGAAGAGCTAACGCTGCTAAACATATATGCACCCAATACAGGAGTACCCAGATTCATAAAGCAAGTACTTAGAGACCTAAAAAGAGACTTAGACTCCCACACAATAATAATGGGAGACTTTAACATCCCACTGTCAACATTAGACAGATCAACGGGACAGAAAGTTAACAACGATATCCAGGAATTGAACTCAGCTCTGCACCAAGCAGACCGAACAGACATCTACAGAAGTCTCCACCCCAAATCAACAGAATATACATTCTTCTCAGCACCACATCACACTTATTCCGAAAATGACCACATAGTTGGAAGTAAAGCACTCCTCAGCAAATGTAAAAGAACAGAAATTATAACAAACTGTCTCTCACACCACAGTGCAATCAAACTAGAACTCAGGATTAAGAAACTCACTCAAAACTGCGCAACTACATGGCAACTGAACAACCTGCTCCTGAATGACTACTGGGTACATAACAAAATGAAGGCAGAAATAAAGATGTTCTTTGAAACCAATGAGAACAAAGACAAAACATACCAGAACCTCTGGGACACATTTATTTATAGCACTAAATGCCCACAAGAGAAAGCAGGAAAGATCTAAAATTGACACCCTAACATCACAATTAAAAGAACTAGAGAATCAAGAGCAAACACATTCAAAAGCTAGCAGAAGGCAAGAAATAACTAAGATCAGAGCAGAACTGAAGGAAATAGAGACACAAAAAACCCTTCAAAAAATCAATCAATCCAGGAGCTGGTTTTTGAAAAGATCAACAAAATTGATAGACCGCTAGCAAGACTAATAAAGAAGAAAAGAGAGAAGAATCAAATAGACGCAATAAAAAATGTTAAAGGGGATATCACCTCCAATCCCACAGAAACACAAAATTCCATCAGAGAATGCTATAAACACCTCTACGCAAATAAACTAGAAAATCTAGAAGAAATGGATAAATTCCTGGACACATACAACCTCCCAAGACTAAACCAGGCAGAAGTTGAATCCCTGAATAGACCAATAACAGGCTCTGAAATTGAGGCAATAATTAATAAGCTACCGACCAAAAAAAGTCCAGGACCAGATGGATTCACAGCAAAATTCTACGAGAGTTACAAGGAGGAGCTGGTACCATTCCTTCTGAAACTATTCCAATCAATAGAAAAAGAGGTAATCCTCCCTAACTCATTTTATGAGGCCAGCATCATCCTGATACCAAAGCCTGACACAGACACAACTAAAAAAGAGAATTTCAGACCAATATCCCTGATGAACATTGATGCAAAAATCCTCAATAAAATACTGGCAAACCAAATCCAGCAGCACATCAAAAAACTTATCCACCATGATAAGTGGGCTTCATCCCTGGGATGCAAGGCTGGTTCAACATATGCAAATCAATAAACGTAATCCAGCATATAAACAGAACCAAAGACAAAAATCACATGATTATCTCAATAGATGCAGAAAAGCCCTTTGACAAAATTCAACAGCGCTTCATGCTAAAAACTCTAAATAAATTTAGTATTGATGGGACATGTCTGAAAATAATAAGAGCTGTTTATGACAAACCCACAGCCAATATCATACTGAATGGGCAAAAACTGGAAGCATTCCCTTTGGAAACTGACACAAGACAGGGATGCCCTCTCTCACCACTCCTATTCAACATAGTATTTGAAGTTCTGGCCAGGGCAATCAGGCAGGAGAAGGAAATAAAGTGTATTCAGTTAGGAAAAGAGGAAGTCAAATTGTCCCTGTTTGCAGATGACATGATTGTATATTTAGAAAACCCCATCATCTCAGCCCAAAATCTCCTTAAGCTGATAAGCAACTTCAGCAAAGTCTCAGTATATAAAATAAATGTGCAAAAATCACAGGCATTCTTATACACAAATAACACAAACAGAGAGCCAAATCATGAGTGAACTTCCATTCACAATTGCTTCAAAGAGAATAAAATACCTAGGAATCCAACTTACAAGGGATGTGAAGGACCTCTTCAAGGACAACTACAAACCACTGCTCAACAAAATAAAAGAAGACACAAACAAATGGAAGAATATTCCATGCTCATGGATAGGAAGAATCAATATCATGAAAATGGCCATACTGCCCAAGATAATTTATAGATTCAATGCCATCCCCATCAAGCTACCAATTACTTTCTTCACAGAACTGGAAAAAACTACTTTAAAGTTCATATGGAACCAAAAAGGGCCTGCACTGCCAAGACAATCCTAAGCCAAAAGAACAAAGCTGGAGGCATCAAGCTACCTGACTTCAAACTATACTACAAAGCTACAGAAACCAAAACAGCATGGTACTGGTACCAAAACAGAGATATAGACCAATGGAACAGAACAGAGCCCTCAGAAATAATACCACACATCTACAACCATCTGATCTTTGACAAACCTAACAAAAACAAGCAATGGGGAAAGGATTCCCTATTTAATAAATGGTGCTGGGAAAACTGGCCATATGTAGAAAGCTGAAACTGGATCCCTTCCTTACACCTTATACAAAAATCAATTCAAGATGGATTAAAGACTTACATGTTAGACCTAAAACCATAAAAACCCTAGAAGAACACCTAGGCAATGCCATTCAGGACATAGGCATGGGCAAGGACTTCATGTCTAAAACACCAAAAGCAATGGCAACAAAAGCCAAAATTGACAAATGGGATCTAATTAAACTAAAGAGCTTCTGCACAGCAAAACAAACTACCATCAGAGTGAATAGGCAACCTACAGAATGGGAGAAAATTTTTGCAATCTACTCATCTGACAAAGGGCTAATATACAGAGTCTACGAAGAACTCAAACAAATTTACAAGAAAAAAAAAACCCATCAGAAAGTGGGCAAAGGATATGAACAGACACTTCTCAAAAGAAGACATTTATGCAGCCAACAGACACATGAAAAAATGCTCATCATCACTGGCCATCAGAGAAATGCAAATCAAAACCACAAGGAGATACTATCTCACACCAGTTAGAATGGCAATCATTAAAAAGTCAGGAAACAACAGGTGCTGGAGAGGATGTGGAGAATAGGAACACTTTTACACTGTTGGTGGGACTGTAAACTAGTTCAACCATTGTGGAAGACAGTGTGGCAATTCCTCAAGAATCTAGAGCTAGAAATACCATTTGACCCAGCCATCCCATTGCTGGGTATATACCCAAAGGACTATAAATCATGCTGCTATAAAGACACATGCACACGTATGTTTATTGTGGCACTATTCACAATAGCAAAGACTTGGAACCAACCCAAATGTCCATCAATGATAGACTGGATTAAGAAAATGTGGCACATATACACCATGGAATACTATGCAGCCATAAGAAATGATGAGTTCATGTCCTTTGTAGGGACATGGATGAAGCTGGAAACCATCATTCTCAGCAAACTGTCGCAAGGACAGAAAACCAAACACCGCATGTTCTCACTCATAGGTGGGAATTGAACAATGAGAACACGTGGACACAGGAAGGGGAACATCACAGACCGGGGCCTGTTGTGGAGTGGGGGGAGTGGGGAGGGATAGCATTGGGAGATATACCTAATGTAAATGACGAGTTAATGGGTGCAGCACACCAACATGGCACATGTATACATATGTAACAAACCTGCATGTTGTGCGCATGTACCCTAGAACTTAAAGTATAATACACACACACACACACACACACACACACACACACACACACACATATATATATTTCTATGTCATTTAGATATAGTTTGGGTTTGGACTAAACCAACTTGGAATTCATGCGCTATTATCTTAACCTTTAACGAAAATAACATGAGTCAGCATATGAACTAAGAAATTATGGGACTGATAGTTAACTTCTCTTACAAATTTGGATTTTAGTACAAATTATATATGCAAAGATATTCTAAAATATAATAAAATGTAAAACATCTTTTTACTTTAATGTTTTTATAAGAAAGTAAAAACAGTACCTTTAAAATTAATAAATGTGTCAGGTGTCAATTTATCTAATATTTAAATAAGCATATAAAGTTTAGGAGACCTATTGTACAATATGGTTACTATAGTTAATAATAATGTACAATATTATAGACATGAAAATTGCTAAAAGATATTTCAAATGTTCTCATAAGTATGTGATTTAATACTTACGTTAATTAGCCTGATTTAGCCATTCCACAATGTATATGCAAATCAAACACTAAGTTGTATACCAAAAATGTATATGATTTTTATTTTTCAATTGAAATAATTACATACATAAATAACATAAAAACTCAGGCAAAAATATGCATGTATCAGGCAAAGAAATAAACTAAATGATTTTGTATGAGAAAATGCTTTAAGATATCATTGACCTTGTGTCTAGACAAATGGACAAATGGTATAGTGTTAATTTCTTGGTAATACAATACCTATGGCTTCATCAAATTTGCCTTGTTTCCATGTGTTAGGTTTATGTCTTCTATGGCATGAGTTAATTTTTTCATATTAATGAAAGAAAGATAATTTGTATGTTTTTACTCCCGTAGGTTTTTACTCCCAAAACTTTTACTCACTTTATGTGTAATTCCAGTCTGATCACTGCTATGTTTGCCTTCTCTTTTATATTGAGGGTCAGGTTGAAGGAATACAAAATTAAAACAAAAGGATTCTTCTTGTGTCTGAGTAAATGCTTATTCAACATGTGAGGGATTGAGTAAAAGTTTTTTTTTTGTTTTTTTTTTTTTAGTGATTCTGCATTGCAGTTCATCAGGAATACTGAAAACAAAATCTGATTTATCATGATCTGTTCTGAGAGGTGACCACTTCACAGTGAAACTGCCACTTACATTGTCAATTCAGGAGTCCTACAATTTCAATGCTTAATAAAAGAACAAACAAATACAAAAGTGCAAATAAAAGCAAAAACAATGGCAAAATTCCATTGAATCTTCTTTGATCACTGCAAGTCTTCCCTTAGTAAGGATGTGGATGTTTAGACAGTGACTCAATTGTAGATGTGGATATCAAATGCAATTTGCTTTACCATAAATAGAAAAAATAACACATAAATGTATATTCTACAGTCAAAAACAGAAATTTAGGCAATGTGGCTTCTTTTATTTTACTGGTATGAAAGAAGAGGCAATTTTCTCTGTGTCTCAGAGATCTCTATTAAGATTTTGGGGAAAGTGATGCAGAAAATAGAATGATGGCTTATGTAGTTAACTCTTTACATAAATTTCAGTGGTTTTCTTGTTGTTATTGAAGAACGTAACTAGATCCTAATGGAAATGACTTCATGGTCGGGAAAATAGCAAAAGGAAAAATTATCAAACCTAAATGTGTGAATTAGGTTTTTCACTTAAAAGAAGTGTAACTGTGTAAGAATGCTTGTGATTTTTGCACATTGGTTTTGTATCCTGAGAATTTGCTGCAGTTGCTTATCAGCTTAAGAAGATTTTGAGCAGAGATGATGGGGTTTTCTAAATATACAATCATGTCATCTGCAGACAGAGACAATTTTACTTCCTCTCTTCCTATTTGAATACACTTTAGTTATTTCTCTTGCCTGATTGTCTTGGCCAGAACTTCCAATACTATGTTGAATAGGAGTGGTGAGAGAGGGCATCCTTGTCTTGTGTTGGTTTTCAAAGGGAATGCTTCCAGCTTTTGCCCATTCAGTATGATATTGGCTGTGGGTTTCTCATAAATAGCTCTTATTATTTTGAGATATGTTCCATCAATACCTAGATTATTGTGAGTTTTTAGCATGAAGGGGTGTTGAATCTTATCAAAGGTCTTGACAAACAGAGAGCCAAATCATGAGTGAACTCCCATTCACATTTGCTACAAAGATAATTAAATACCTAGAGATACAACTTACAAGGAATGTGAAGTACCTCTTTAAGGAGAACTACAAACCACTTCTCAAGGAAATAAGAGAGGACACAAGCAAATGGAAAAATATTCTGTGCTCATGGATAGGAAGAATCAATATTGTGAAAATGGCCATACTGCCTAAAGTAATTTATAGATTCAATGCTATCCCTATCAAGCTACCATTGACTTTCTTCACAGAATTAGAAAGAACTACTTTAAATTTCATACAGAACCAAAAAAAGAGCCCATATAGCCAAGACAATCCTAAGCAAAAAGGACAAAGCTGGAGACATCACGGTACCTGACTTCAAACTACACTACAAGGCTACAGTAACCAAAACAGCATGGTACTGGGACCAAAACAGATATATGGACCAATGGAACAGAACAGAGACCTCAGAAATAACACCACACATCTACAACCATCTGATCCTTGACAAACCTGACACAAACAACGAATTGGGAAAGGATTCCCTATTTAATAAATGGTGTTGGGAAAACTGGCTAGCCATATGCAGAAAACTGAAAGTGGACCCCTTCCTTACACCTTATACGAAAATTAATTCAAGATAGATTAAAGACTTAAACGTAAGACCTAAAACCATAAAAACCCTAGAAGAAAACCTAGGCAATACCATTCAGGACATAGTCATGGCCAAAGATTTCAATGACTGAAACAACAAAAGCAACAGCAACAAAAGCCAAAATTGACAAATGGGATCTAATTAAAGAGCTTCTGCACAGCAAATGAAACTATCATCAGAGTGAACAGGCAGCCTACAGAATGGGAGAAAAATTTTGCAATCTACCCATCTGACAAAGGGCTAATATCCAGAATCTACAAAGAACTTAAACAAATTTACAAGAAAAAAACAACCCCATGAAAAATTGGTCAAAGGATATGAACAGACGCTTCTCAAAAGAAGACATTTATATGGCCAACAAACATGAAAAAAAGCTCATTATCACTTGTCATTAGAGAAATGAAAATCAAAACCACAATGAGATACCATCTCACACCAGTTAGAATGGCAATCATTAAAACGTCAGGAAACAACAGATGATGGAGAGGATGTGGAGAAACAGGAACGATTTACACTGTTGGTGGGAGTGTAAATTAAGTCAACCATTGTGAAAGACGGTATGGCGATTCCTCAAGGATCTAGAACCAGAAATACCATTTGACCCAGCAATCCCATTACTGGGTATATACCCAAAGTATTATAAATAATTCTACTATAAAGACACATGCACATGTATGTTTATTGCAGGACTGTTCACAATAGCAAAGACTTGGAACCAACCCAAATGCCCATCAATAATAGACCTGATAAAGAAAATATGGTGCATATATATTATGGAATACTATGCAGCCATAAAAAAGGATGAGTTCATATCCTTTGCAGGGACATGGATGAAGCTGGAAACCATCATTCTCAGAAAACTAACATAGGAACAGAAAACCAAACACCGCGTGTTCTGACTCGTAAGTGGGACTTAAACAATGAGAACACATGGACACAGCGAAGGGAACATCACACACCAGAGCATGTCAGGGAGCTAGGGGAGGGATAGCATTAGGAGAAATACCTAATGTAGATGATGGGTTGATGGGTGCAGCAAACCACCATGGCACATATATACCTATGTAACAAACCTGCCTGTTCTGCACGTGTATCCCAGAACTTAAAGTATAATAAAACAAAAAAGTGTAACTGTATCTATAACTTTAACATTAGGATTCAGCAATCATTTCCAATATCCTCTAAATATAGTCTTCAGTAATTTCCTCCATTTCTTTGAAAGACATATGTACCTTAGCATATCTCTTTATCATACAGCTCAGCTTTACAAGTTGCAGATTTGCCCAGCGGAAGTTATTTTCTCTTTTGTATGTCATGGTAAAAATATACACAATTTTAGTCAAAACATTTTGAGATCTTATGAAATCCATATTTTCTCTTCTTGTCATTAATGATTCTAATAAATAAATTAATCACCACTTTTGCATCTTCCCATAAGAAAGAATAACTGTTCTGGTTTTAAGTTGGCAGGGAGCAAAGATAAAATGACTCCTGTGTAACTTTCATTCTACACTAGTCTAGAGCCAAAACTAGATGTAAAATAAAATAAAATAAAATAAAATCCATAACCCTTCCTTGTGAGCTTTTTCACACTTAAGACTCTTCAGGGAAGAAATCATTAATTCAGGATTGCCTCTTTCAATTTCTGTTTCTATCATGAGGACATAAGGTTACATTCTCTCATAAAGCAATTTACATAATGATTCAAACCAAATTTTCAAGCTAAATTTTGGGGCACTAAGATAATCAGAAAAAAACGTCTAAAGGGATTAAGTAAGTGCCTGAATAGCTAGTTCCTGATGACATCAGGAAATTAAAAATTGTAATAAGGGAACTAACTTCTTACCCTGTCCAGACCTCCCACTTCAAGTTTTAAAATCTACACTTACTCCAAGAAAAAAAAAATGACTTTTTAATGCTGTATCATGCTAAATAGATGGGAAGTTTAAAAGTCATTTACCTAAATTAGTAAGTGTAGGAATGAACTATTCATTTAGAAATATAAGAACAAATCACATATCTATATTTTCAAATTCTGTATTTCTAGATTTTATTTTTCTTTCTAAAAAACTCTAATAGTCTATGAAATCTGATATTCTGAAATCTGTCAAAAATGTCTCTTTTTCTCTTATACAGTTGATTAGAAGACAGACATATTGCAATATCATTTGTAACATAGAGTATTTAATCTTGCTATCTAATTTCCAAAAATAGATTTAAACACATCATAGAGCTTAAATTCTATTCACACATAGGTTATATGTATATATATATATATAAATATATATATATAATGAATAAATTATGTTTCATTTCACTTTGGATATTATTGGACAGTATAATACAAAATGTACTCTGAGTTTAATAGTAAAAGCATCACAATATACACTTTAAAATATTATCTGCATCTACTAATGTCAGTTTTTTAATGTATGCAACTTTCATTTTAAGTAACAATGTATTTCACTTGGTTGTTTTAAACTATACCAGTTGGCTTTAAACTTTTAGTAACCAACAAGTGTTCAAAAGTTAAGTATTCTATGGTTTCCAGTTCCTGGCCATATTTTCCTAATCTTTGTTTATATTTCTTTGAATCTATTTAGGACATTGTTTTAAAGTCCATGTTTGAAAACCCCATTAACTAAATCTCTTTGAGTCTTTTTCTGTTATCCAATGCTTCCTTTGGTTTTTATGAGATTTTCTTAATTTATTGCATCACTAGTCATATTTTTGTTGGTACGCGCGCTTATGTGTGTGTTTAAATCGCACACTTTATATTGTATGTGAAAAAACTGTAGTAAAATTTGGAAAATAAGGAAAATAATATGCTGTTACTTTCCTTCAGAAGGCTTTATGTTGCCTTCAGGTAGGTGGCTATGGGAAAGAAAAACTCTAGATAACCCTAAAACCTTTTTCCGGTATTGAGATAATTGGATAAGGGCTTTCATCCTTGTTGGAATTGGACTATTTTCTGACTATATATATAAAGTCCCATATGTCAGGCTTACCAATTGGGTTTTCTTTATGTTCTGTACCATTACTATTCTAATATCATAAAGCAGAAGTTGACTCTGTGCCCAAGTCAGTAGTTTTTCTCAAAGGAAGTTGTAATCTGAACTACCCTGCATTATTAAAACTAGAAGGCCCCTCATGTTATTCTCCCATTTAGTAAACAACATTAAAATCATTTTATTAAGTTATAAAGCAGTCTACTGGTATTTGATAAGAACTGCTTTAGATATAAATTTGGGAAGAATGGGTATTTTTACATTATTTAGTTTTCCATTTGGGAATGCAATAGTATAAAGGATGAGTTATATCCCTCTTTTTTATGTTGAAAAAATATATATCTTTATTTATTAAGTATATTTTTTTATTTTTGTAACCCACCACAATATGAAAAAGATATATATTTTAAAACTAGTATATATTTTTTAAAAA
Organism: Homo sapiens; assembly: GCF_000001405.40. Lineage (NCBI taxonomy): Eukaryota > Metazoa > Chordata > Mammalia > Primates > Hominidae > Homo > Homo sapiens. The sequence goes on from NC_000004.12 coordinate 132,470,106, forward strand.
TTAAAAAAATTGCCAGAGAGAAATTCAAATCACTGAGAACAAGTAGAAAAGTTTTGTTATTATACAAATATTACTAAAATTCAAGATGAGTATCTAATAAAGATAGACAAGTATACTCCTAAGACACATTTTTTGATATGCCAACAGTTCCTTTGTTGCATATTAGTGTACTTTAAATTATTTCTTAAAGTACTTAAGAAAAAAATTGAAATGTTTAGATACTCCAATCATGTGTCATAGAAGATGATTTGTCATGTAGCAGCAATAGAGTAAGTTATTAAGATAGCTTTTGTTTTTATGGTCATAATAGTTTTTGTTGTCAAACATAAAATTGTCAAACATTGTATTTAAGTAAAATACAAATATTGACCACTGTTTGCAATATGATTTCTTAAAGTAACCTGGCAATAATGAAATGTATATCCTAGCATTAATGAAATAAAAATATGTCCTTAAAATATGCTATTCAAGTCAAGTTTTATTTCTTAGGACCCATATATATAGATAATTATTATACTTGGAATCCAAAAGTTGGAATAGGTAGAACATTATGTCCTCCTGACTAACACTAGGATCCACATATGATCCTTTATGCCTTAAAATAAAATCTGTCGTGTGAAGGTTTATGAAAGATACAAAGAGATGTATAAAGCTCTTCTTCCTGTATATACATTTAAGATGATAATTTTTTGGTTATGGTGTTCATTATTTAATGATATGGATTTTGACATTTGTTTTTTCCAAAATCTCATTGAAAGGTTAAGACAAATTTTTGATACCCATAGAAGTATGAAAAAATGCGTAAGTCTTAGAGCTAAAAGTTTTGTTATAAACATCCATTCTGGTTGCTTCAGTAATCACCATTTGACAGTAGAGAGAGGAAACTGACATAAACTTATGACAACTAGTTCCTAAGAAATCTACACAATTTGGAAAAGATTTAGTCAGTTGTTTTTTAAAATATATTTAAAAATAATATATCCACTTAGAATATTAGATAAAGAAGAGCCATGAATGCCTAAAGTAAGTGTAAGAGAAATAACAAATAAATAGAGCAGAAATCAGTAAAAATGAGGAAAGAAAATCACTTTGGAAATTTCTAAAACAAAAAGCTGGTTGCTCAAAAAAATATCAATGAAGACCAATAAAATTGATAGTCTAGCCACATTAACCAAGAAGAAAAAGGAAGACAAAATTTACCAATATCAGAAATGAAAGGTGGGTCATAATCACTGATCCCACGAGTATTAAAATGGTAATAAAGGAATACTATGAACAACATTATAGTATTATATCACACGAATATTACAACTAAGTTGAAATGTACCAATTTTCTAAAAGACAGAATCTAAGAAAACATATACAAGGAGAAATAGATTATTTTAAAAGACCTACTATTATTAATTAAATAAATTGAATAAGTAATTTATAATCTTTCCCCCCAAAGAAACTCAGTTGGATTCACTGACCTCTACAAAACATCTGAGAAAATATACCAGTTTTCTACAATTTCTTCCAGAAAATATAAACAAAGGGAATAATTCCTCTAATTCTTTCTATAAGGCTAATCTAGGTATTTACACAACTAATTATAAAACATGTCCATAAATAATCAGTGCAAGAATATTTACAATAACTGTTTTATAAATGCCAGCATCAGGAACCAACCAAGTAGCCTTTCAAAAGATGAACGTATAAACAAACTGTAGTACCTTCATACAAAGGAATATTTTTCAGCAATTAAAAAAATAGCCATCAACCAACAAAAAGACATGAATGGTCTTAAATGCATATTACTCAGGAAGAAATGGTTGATGAGATTCCATGCAGGGGGTTTTGTAGAGCATTGAAATCATTCTGCATCATACAAAATGTTACATAAATTACCTTATTCATCCAAATCCATAGAGTTGTACAACACAAAGAGTAATCTTTAATTTATGCAAGTTATACAAATAATTTAGGAAGTCAGATAATCTAGAACTCCCAATAGCCAAAGGTGGACAAATTTGTAAAAGAAAATAAATAAGGAAGTATTGCATTATTACCCAAACTATAAAAGGAAGGAATACATATTCTGAAAACGAAAGTTGAACTGTGCAAATGTACAAAACAACCTAAATAAAGTGTATAAGCATAAAGGTAATGACCCAAGTAACTTTGAAAATAGTTGGGGCTATAAGTCTAAATTCAAAAGAAATGGCACATAAACACTGCATTCTCATCAATAAAATTTGTTTCCCATAGGGAACAGGTTAATAATTCTCATATGGCTACACGCGTGTTCTGAAATTGAACAATTGTGTTAATAATCGGGTTTCTTACTGTTGGAGAGGAGATAGGCAGACTAGCAAGGGAAGAGTGATAGAATGGCTTATGTGTTAATGGACTAGAATCAGAGACATTAGTATTTACTCATGTTTAGCTTATAGATATAGATGGTTACAAGGAAAATACTTACAGTTACGTGTATATACATGTTAGTATGTATACATATACTTCTTTGCGTAATCAAATAAGAAATCCTTAAAGAAATGATTCCCTTATTGCAATAAACACACCTAATGCTCATATCTTGGTTTATAATATGACTGTCTAATAAAAAAATCATAACTTTTGGAGAAATGGTTAATTCTAGAACTGGAGGAGGAAATATACAAGATGAGCCTGGAATGTTTGCAGTGCTAGGAAGGAAGCAAGAATGCAAAAGCAACTAAACATTAAACACATTGACATGGGATTATGTCAAAGTGTCAGAGGAACCAACTGAAAGAACCCCCAATGTCCAAAGCTGAAACAATTAGAACAAGAAAATGAATAAAGAGTATTGGATTATAACCTAACCTATAAAGTAAGTATCATTTAATACATGCTGACATAAATAAATGATTAAATAAAACGATGAGCGGTAGAGAAGAGACAAATGTTGTATGCAGAAGAATTTCAAATTAATTATGTAGACTTCACCCTCAATGAGTGAGAACATAATGTCCCACTCTTTTAATGTACCCTATTCATAGTGACTAATTTCCAGACAGTACAGTAGGGAAAAGGGAAAATATTGTATACTAACCAGGAGAGCCAATGTTATTTCATTTGGATTTATCATTATATGAATTAAGTACCAAGCATGAAATAATCTTTTACTGGGGACAGGGGTGGATGTGCAAGGATAAATTTGAAAACCTCAATGACAGAATATGTTAGGCTTCTTGATAGTCTTTGCTTTATACACAGTGTCTTATCCATTTTCTGCTGCTATGACAGAATACCTGAGACTGGATAATGTATAAAAAAATGAAAATGTATTCACTTGTGGTCCTGGAGACTGGGAAATATGATATCAGGGCACCTGCAGCTATGGTAAATCTGATTCCAAGGTGACACCTTGAATATTGTACTCTCTGGAGAGAAGGAAAGCCATGTCCTCTCATGGCAGAAGGACAAAGAGAAAAAAGGGAGCTAAACTTACTCTCTTGTAACCACATTAATCACTTCTTAAATGTTTCCCTTCTTAATACTGGCACCTCTTAACAATGGCAATTACATTTTAACATGAGTTTTAGAGGGGACAAACATTCAAACCATACCACAGTGACTGGCATAGTATTTGTTGAATCGACTTAGTTTGGTTTGGGTTAAACAATCAAACAATAATTATTTGAAGTAAGTCATAAAAACTCATGTTTTGATATTGGAACCTGCAGGACAGTTAAAATATTTAGAAATTTATAAAGCTTTTTTTATGATCATGAAAAATAACCTGATACCTTGTAAAAAGAATTAAGAAATAAAAAAAATTTGCAAAAATTATTGCATGTTAAATAAAACTTGAAAGGATTAACAAATCAAAATTCTATTTGGAAACTATGAGCTTCCATGTTTCCAACTAAAACTATAGCAATACAATTTACCTAATTATATTACATTCATGTAGGCCTCTATTTATACCTGGAATAGATAAACCAAATCTACAGACAATCTGAAAAAGCAAAGAAGCACCACAGGGCTTGTCTGTTTGGGGCGTGTGTGTGTGTAAGTGTGTGTGTGTGTGTATCCAGACAGGGGAACTTGCTCCACTGGAGCAAAATATGAAAGAATCTTGAAAATAAATCTAGGAGTTAAAAGCAATTTTACACCAAACAAAATAAAAACAAAACAACAAATCCAGTAATTCTTCTACAACATAGGTTTTCAAAGAATGGTCACAGATTTCTGAATTGAAATCACCTAGAGTAGTCATTTAAAAGAAGCATTTCTAAATTCAATGCTTATCAGCTGATTCAGAATAACTGAGGGCAAATTTTTGTACCTAGGATGAGAACCACTTTTCTAGAGTTGCCAAATTATTAACCTAAATACTCCACTAATTCTGCAGCTACTATCATAGCACAGAAGTGTCTTTGAAATAGAGATTTTGTAAAGAATAGCATGTTTTATTGACTATGTAATGATTACTTTCATACATCAATTGTTAAGCTTCTCATTTAAAAATTTGTGCAGCAGTACACAATTTAAGTGGAAATTTCCTATGAACCTGATAAAATGATCTATACTTCATTTTTATATTTACTTGTTCTCTTTGTATCTTCTTTCTATGTTAACTATCTAGTCATACGTTTATGCACTAATAACAGCAATTGAAGGCATTTATGTTTTAAAGCAGTAGCTGTAATTATATTACTTTTCCTATAAATAACATTGGCATTGATGCTTTTATAATGAAAATGAACCCAAGCGATTGAATATTTATGAATCAGAATCTTTTTGGAAGTGAATATGACAGCATTGAAACATGCAATTACCAGAAATACCTACAGTGATTAAAATGTTAATTAATGACAGTTTCTTTTATTAGCTTAAACAAAATCATACTACACATAGAAAAAAATAAAATTCTCTGATAATTTTAAATGCAAATTTATTCAATCATTAAAGAATATTTATTTTCAAATAAAATATGCCAAAGGAAGTGAAATAATCTGTTTTAATTTCCTCCCAGGCATCCAGTAATATAAAACTAATCATCAAATGCTCACATATTAAACCTAGCTAAACAGATGGGACTTAACACAAAACATTTTAAAGCTCCTGAAAAGATGACTTTTGCTATTCCTTAACATTAAAATAAAAACATATTGGAATAATTCAACAGCAACATTCAATACTAATACTTGAAAATCAATCCACTAGGCTAGAAAATATTTTTGTTCTAATTAATTCAATATATTAACTCAGTATAATTCCCTATTTATTTAATGGGTAATGTTTTCCTATCTCTGTTCAATCACGATTGAAGGTTTTAATTTCAAACTTTCAATAACTCAATTTTTTTTAATTTGCCTAAATTATTTGAGGTTTTAATAGTTGAAAAACCAAGTTTCATTATTCTAATATTCTATTATATGGGAATTTATCTGTAGAACATAATAATTTTGACATAATGGGGCTTTAACCTTATAAATGCAAACTCTAGTGGGAACATCTGGTTTAAAATATTATTAGTTCAGAAATGATCATCCCTTTAACTAGATATTATTTATTTAGTAGAAGAGTTTTTTGATACTTTTCTTCTAGAATCTCTACTTATTACAATATATAATAGTTAATTTATGAACTGAGAGTCATCATGTGTATGTCTATATTGTCACTGTACTTCATATTTAAATGTCTTGCTCTGATAAATTTAGTGTATTTCAAAATCTAATAATCTAAAATAATCTCTCAGATACTCACTTCTCTCACTTCTCTCTCTCTCTTTTTAATTAGAGACAGAGTCTCCCTATGTTGTTCAGGCTGGTCTCCAACTCCTGATCTCAAGGGATCCTCCTGCCTCAACCTCCCAAAGTTAAGATTACAGGCATGAGCCACCATGCCTGGCTCTCTTGCTTCTCTTCTTTTCCAGTTCATATTCCAGGGTCCATCAAATATCATTTCCTTGTACTTATTCTGAAACTCTTCTTCAGCTCTTTATTAATGATAATAACCTCGCCAGATCCCAACCCAAGGACAACCAGGAAGATATTTCTCAAACAGCTTTCCTCATCACTCTATTGCATTAGGATTATCAATTTATGCTTTGTCCCAGTTCTTTCCCAGCAATTTCTGTTAATTATGTGTATTACTCATGTCTTGAACCCCCAAAATCCCTTTTTATATATATATATTTCCCCTTAGCATATACTTCATTTTTTATCTTTCATATAACTCATCAGAAAGAATTATATATAGTCAATGTCTAAAATTTGTCTGCTCTTATACTGTCTCGTACTCACTCCAGTCAGATATTGATGCCATTTTCACATTTGCTAAATCCCATGATTAATATAATATTTATCAGTTATTGTTTTATTTGACCTAGAAACATCTTAGTTGATCACTCTCTCTTTAAAATATTTTCTCTGTATTCTTCTTCTATGTCTATTATTCCTCTAGTTTCTACTACTCAGTTTTTAAAGCTGCTTCTTACCTCCCTAACTTATGAAAATAGGAGAGCCGTATTAGTCAGTGTTCTTCAGAGAAACAGAACTAAGATGTATATGGACATATAAGAAGGGATTTATTATGAGAATTGGCTCATGATGATATGGAGGGGGAAAAGTCCTATGACATGCCATCTCCAGTCTGAAGAGCCAAGAAAGCCAGTGGTGTAATTCAGTCTGAGTCTGAAGAATTGAGAACCAGAATAGCCACTGGTATAAGTCCCAGAGTCTGAAGGCTCAATAACTAGGATCTAAAATATCTGAGGGCAGGAAAAGATGAATGACCTGACTCAAGAAGAGATAGTAAACTCACCCTTCCTCTACTTTTTGGTTGTGTCAAGCCCTCAGCAGATGATGACGTCTGCCCACATTTGTGAGTGTGGATCTTCTTTAATCAGTCTACCTGAAATCAAATGCTAATATTTTTATATATAATTATATATAGTCAATGTCTAAAATTTGTCTTCTCTTATACTGTCTTGTACTCTCATGGATACTCTCATGGATATACCCAGAAAAAAATGTCTTAGCATCTATCTGGGCATCCTTAACCCAGTCAAATGGACACATCACAGAAACCCAAGGCTCCATCATCACCTCTCTTTTCTATCTTCCTCATTCTTTAGGTGATCTCATCTAGTCTTATGCTTTAAATTTCTTTTTATGGTGAAAACTCCAAAATATATCTCAACTTTTTTTCTAACTTCAACATTAATTTTCTCTTAAAAATACAATTGGTATACCAATCATAATACGTTCAAGGTGAAACCTCTAATTACTTTTTCAAAACCTTTATCACTATCAGTGTTCCAAATCTCAGTAAATTATGATTCCATTATTCATTCTTTCAAGCTAACTTCTATTTAGTCATATTTGACTACATTATCTTATATGGAATCTAGGAGCAAATTATATCCAGATTCTATTCACTTCTTGTCATCTCCATTGCTACAACCTTTAATTTTTACTTTGATTATTGGCATAGCCTCTACCCCCCACTTTTTTTTCATCATGGGCTTTTATAGACTATTCACCCCCAAGCAGCCACAATTACTGTTTGTCAAGGTAAGTTAAATGGTGTTGAAATTTTGGTCATAACCTGACAATGACATTCAGTTTTACTGAGAGCTCATTTCAATATTTACACATTCACCATATTTTGGGAGTAATATGACTTGATGAAAATCTTGATATTCATCAATTGTACTAGTTTAGATTCCCCTTCTTCCAAGAAATCTTTCCTTTATCTTCAAAGCCTTTTTTTCTTTGCCATTATCATGTATCCTCCAAACATTTTCTATTAACTTCTCTTTATCTCAGTTTAAAATATCAGCATTTTTGGGAGCAACAGACATCTATCCTGTTAACTTTTATCATCAGAACCTTTCCCAGAGCATAGGATATAGTAGAAAATTAATAAGTCTATATTGGCAGTAATTAGCATTTATTACTAAATCCTCTACCAGTTGCCATAATCTCCTCTAGTTACCTCTTTTTTCCCTTTATTACAGCAATCATGGGACAATCGCAGTTATTCAAATAAACCAAAGACTCTTACAAACAATCTTGATCTTGATCTTCATTCTACCCGGAAACCTCTTTCCCCAGTTATACAAGTAGTTTGTTCACCCATCCACTGCAGATATCTGATCATATGTCACCTGTAAAAGTGAGGCCTTCTGTGATCACATTATTAAAAATATATTGTCAAAATATTATTATTAAAATAAATTATTAAAAATAAATAACCCCACTCAAGCATTCTCTGACTCCCCTATCTACCTTACTTTTCTCCAGAGCACTTCTCACTCTCTGGCTTACTATTTATTCTCAATGTTATATGCTTATTTTTCTCTTCTATATGAATGGAAGCAGCCAGAAACAAAGTACATTGTATTTTCTTTTTACTACCTGAACTACTACACATATTTTTTGCACTCAAAAAATATTTGTTGCATGAATGGACCAAGATTTTCATTTTATTCATTGGCTATTTTCTTTCATAGGATAGCCGTACCATAAGAATATTGGGGGTTTTTTTGGCCAAAAAATTCTTTTGTTGATTTACTCTCTTTTTCAATGGTTGAAGTACAGTTGTGTTTCAAAAATAAAGTATTTCAAATTTTAGCTGAAACCATGGACACACTATTTAGTCTCTTTGAGTCTAATTCTTCTTATCAGTACAACAAAATGTTGAACTGGGTGTTACTTTAGTTTGCATCCATCTTAAACAAAACTAAGTAATATTATATTTTTAAATCTGTAAATGTCTTCATAGGACATATTTTAGGAGTAATGTGACTTGATGAAAATCTTGATTTTTTACTAATAATACCAGCTTAGATTCCCCTTTTTCCAAGAAATCTTACCTTTATCTTCAAAGCCCTTTTTTCTGTGCCATTATCATGTATCTTTTAAGCAACTTTCTGTATACTTCTCTGTATTTCAGTTTAGAATACCAGCATTTATAAGAGCAATAGACAACTATCTTCTTAACTGTTTTATCACCAGCACGTTTCACAGAGCACAGAATATAGTAGAAACTCAGTAAGTATGTATTGGTAGTAACTAAAATTTATTAAGCCTTTTCTAGGTCAGGCAATATTCTGTTTCACATATTTGAACTCGTGTAACACTCATAAAAACCTACAATTTTGTTGTTGAGTTAATGAAATAAAAAAAAACAAGTATTGACATGGAGTTTGAGTTTGGCAAAGTAAGCCAATTGTCAGCTTATGAAATAGATGGAGAGCAAAATTATTTGGCAAGAGAAAATGGAAATTTTAAGGTCAAAGAAGATGAACAGAATAGATCAGAAAGCAAGAAAGTTCTTGAAACTCAGTGATAAGAAAGGACATCTAATTTAAAGAAATAATAGGATAAGAAGACTTTTGTTTCAGCTTGTATAAGGATGTAAAATTTAGCTTGTATTTAAGAATGTAAAAGATAAAGCAGTTTCCTCGTAGAGGAGGACTAGGAGAAATTCGGTACTATTATAATAGTTCCAGACAATTAAATACACATATAGGAAGTCTTAACTATTGCTCTGGAGTTAAGGAAATCAAATTTGAATCATTTAGCAACTGTTATACATTAACATGATAGTGAAACTCCTGATACTTCAGTAATCACTTGAAAGTCATAGCATCTAGCAAAAATGTATAACTAAAACCTGTTACACTGTGGTGGGTACTTTCCCAACAATTTCTGTAGTCTTCATATCTATCATCCAGAAAGGTCAGATTTACCAGTTGAGGTCACAATATTTTATACAGCAGGAATTTAAAATATTATTCATCTGATTTCAAATTCTGTGCTCTATTAATTGTGCTAGTCTTTTATTTTAGCCCAAAAAAATCTTGAAAGGAAACCAAAACATAAAACAGGTAGGAGTTATTTGCTACTTGGAAGTACCTCAATAGAACCCCGGTACATGGAGGCTAGCGCAATAACCACTGTATTAGCTATACTTCCTTTCTTAGAATAGGTCATCTTTCTAAAAGAGTCAAAAATGTTCTCTTAAAAATGTGAAGTGTCATATGAACATGTAATAAAATGCTGTGATTACAATAAAAGCAGAGACGATTAAAGATGACATACAATAAGCCACATATATCTTATGTGCAGCACAGACAGAATCAGTAAAATAATCACCTTGCTACTTCCTTCCCTGCATTTTGCTACTTCCAGAAAGGCATTCTCTGAAAACCAGTGATATGCTGGAGCTGGCTCCAGTCCCCTGCTTACCAGAGGTGTTTGGCATATCTCTGCTGTGTATTTAGTGGCATCACCTTGATAGGGAGCCACCATGGGAGAAATTACATCATGAAAATGGCAAATTTTATAAACTGAGTATATTTTTCACAGAGAGCTATTAACATTTGCCAGCACATCACTGCATTCTGATATGCTCAAAAAAAGAAGAAGAAAAAAAAGGTGGGGGAATAAAAAGCAAAGGCATGAAGTAAATGAAAGAATTATGTTATTTATCTTACTTAGACTATATAACTTAAGAAACACTTCCTTGACATGTGGAAATGCTCTGATGTTGAAAATTGCAGTTGCATACAGGTTTGTTCCAATGGACTAACTGGATTCAGGGTTTATATCAATCTAAGAGTATTGTTTTTGTTTTGTTTTGTTTTAAGAGTATACTTCATCAGCTGCTGTGAAATAGGCATTATATTTCATTCTCCCTAACTTTACATTTTCCTTAACTTTTCAATGTGATTAATAGAGACTTTTTATGTGTTAATTTTACAGAATGAATTTATATTCATTTGTTAAGAAAGTGAAATCGTATCAAGGGAACTGAAATGAATATTGAAATAACACTAGACAATCTGAATTGTTGGTCTACATAATGGTTGATTCTTTTATAGATCCTTGCATTTGTTTTGAAGTGCAGATATTCATGATAAAAAATAATCAAACACAACTTAAAGAGCATTTGAGAAAAATAGGTATATGCTTGTGACTGTGAGTCATGGAATATGAACGTGTATATTAACCTTTATTTCCTTTTATTTCAGTAAGCACCTTTCAAATATTAAGCTATCAAACTTTCAGCACTACAATAAATAAAACCTTATATTGAAACCTTGAATTCAGTAAATCTTATAGAAATATGTCAGACTTCTCCTGGTAATTCTAAGCCCAGATTTAGGTGACAGGTTATATACAGTATAATATAACTATTATTTCATTGTCATCACTCAACTTAGTGAAGTATCAATACATTTTTACTTTTAACAAAAGCTAATAAATATTGAGATTTTAGTATATGCCAAGTAGTATTTTAAGTGTTTTTTTTTAATATATGTCATGTCATTTCGTACAAAAGCCAAATATGGCAGAATAATTTGAGTTTTACTGGTGAAGAGGGCATGACAGAATTTACATAGCCTGCTCATGTATACATTGATAGAGCTGAAAGAGCTAAGGTATGAACTGAAGTAATAGAATTACAACGCACTCCATTTTAACTACTACACTATACTGCTCATCAAATCATGGAGGAATTTAATTATTTGAAATAAAATTTGACAAGTTAATCACATGTAAGTTATGTAAATCTCATTTATTACAAGATTAATTAGAAATAAAAGAATCTGGTAACTATCAAATAATTTTAACGTGATTTTTAAATTTCTCTTTTTATTTGAAATATTTGCTTTTCAGAGCAGGTATTACATTTAATAGTATCAAATTGCATGAATAATTCCTTGCTGTAAATAACATTATTCTGCCATGTTGAAAAGGATGGCATGCTACCCAGGGGTGTTGCACCTGGAGTTGCCTATACCAACTAGACAGACTTTGAATTTTCAAGTTAGGAAGCATATAGGTGAGCTTCACATCATTATAGGTATTTTGAAAGTTTTTATAGAAAGAGAAGAGAATGTAATCAATGGCTTATTGGAAAAAGGGTCTGAAGTAGAATCATTGTCTTCACAGAATCCATTGCATGCTTCTTTCCTTATTTGGATGTATGTTTGTGACTCTGGGATTGTTATCATAATTCCAAACATTTATGTTTTTGATCACATTCAGCCAGGATTTGTAGCTTAGAATTTCTCTGCTTCTGACAGAATACAGCCTTGGGCATGCATAGAGCTAGGGACACATGTCAGGAAAGCATTTAATTTTATTTTTAAATGTTTGCCTAGGAGTTGCCCCTGGATCAATCTGGCTTACTTCTAGCCAGTATTTGGTCAGAAGTGTTGTTTAAGTCCGTCATGCTAATGAAGTGTCTGCCCTTTCTTGATGGATATGTGAGCTGGTTGGGAAATGTTTTCAAGTCTTTCCCATGTCCTGCTCTAATTGCTTCTGAGGGAACACAGCTTAGTGCATACACAGCATTCCAAAGCCAAGATTGACCATAATCCAGGAGAGTTCTCCTTAATAGTCACTTTTTTTAGGTTGTCTCTATTAAACTTCTAGATTATCCATTGTTTTTCTTGTTGCTATAAATATCTTGAAAACACTAGAACCTTCTTAATTGCTATCCACCAACACCTTTGTTTGTTTCAACAATGTTCTCAGGCATGCAATTTTTCAAACTGTGCTCCAAATAAAGTCAATCTCCTCAGGTAGAGCTAAGGAGCTCCTTTTCCTTATGACCTGCCTCTCTTATTTGGTAGAATATCTAGGCCACTTCCCAGCAACTGTGGTTGGAGAGAGCAGATGGCTTCTCAAAGAGTGACATCCAGGGTCTTCCACCAAGCTTCAGGATAGGTGGTAGCTTCTACGTTTGGCCCTTTCAGTGTGGAACCTCTGCTACATGAGTGGACTGGGACAATCATTTCCCAGTATGTTTACCTGCTGCACCTGGGGCAGAACTTCTACTATAGGTGTAATTTGGGGTTAGGAATGGGAGCCTGTGTCATTTTAGCTGCACCTGAATGAAACAGAGCTTCTCAAGCACAGGCCTTGTGGGGGATGAGAAAATTGTAATGTGCCCCTATTGGGATGCAACTGAAGTTTTAGACTGGAAGCGGAGGGGAGAAGAAACCCTGGTTTTCTTGATAACTCTAACCTAGAGTACTTAACAGGAATAGAGTTTCCCTAACATGGAGCTGCAGGTGGACAGAAAAGAGCATTTAATCCTTGGATTCACATTCAATAAACCCTGGCTTTAATATCTGATTTCATGGCCTCACTATGATCAGGGCACATCACTTCATGTCTCCAGGCGTCAATTCCTGATATGAAAAAAAGGGAAAATTAGATGTGACTTGTTTAAATATCACAGATCTAACTACGGATTCTATTGTTTTTGTTTACCAAGTAAGTATAATGAATACTCCTAAAATGTAGCCATGTTCCTGTTTTAGTCCATTTTATGCTGCTATAAAAAAATACTACAAACTGGGTAATTAATAAAGAACAGAAATGTATTTATTCCAAACTGAGGGGCTGGGAAATTCAAGATCAATTTGAGGCAGAAAAGTAGGGTCTGCAGGCAGGGAACATAAGGCCCATTTGTTCTGAATCAAGGGAAAACACGAAGTTCTGGGGGCAGGGAATCTGGGGGCAGGCCAATTCATGCTGACTTCCCAAAGCTGGTTCAAAAGGAAAACACATGGGGCTGAGGGCAGAGAACCTAAGGCCAATTAAAGCAAACTTCCTAAAGCTAAAACAAAAGGAAAAACCCCATCTCCCCATGCCAAGTAACAATGGATCAAAGGCCACTTTCCCTATAACCCTCTCGTGTCTACCGTGTCTCAGATGGAAAGGGAGAGTGCCTTGGATTTGCCAGGGGCCAAGCAGGGACCGTCCGTTTAGAGAGCCAAACCCAGCCTTTAATTAGCCACAGACCAAATCCTTTATCCAGATAAGAACCTCAAACAGCTGAGACAATGGGGTTTTCTAGATATACAATCATGTCGTCTGCAAACAGGGACAATTTGACTTCCCTTTTCCTAATTGAATACCCTTTATTTCCTTCTCCTGCCTAATTGCCCTGGCCAGAACTTCCAACACTATGTTGAATAGGAGTGGTGAGAGAGGGCATCCCTGTCTTGTGCCAGTTTTCAAAGGGAATGCTTCCAATTTTTGCCCATTCAGTATGATATTGGCTGTGGTTTGTCATAGATAGCTCTTATTATTTTGAAATACGTCCCATCAATACCTAATCTCCTTAAGCTGATAAGCAACTTCAGCAAAGTCTCAGGATACAAAATCAATGTACAAAAATCACAAGCATTCTTATACACCAACAACAGACAAACAGAGAGCCAAATCATGAGTGAACTCCCATTCACAATTGCTTCAAAGAGAATAAAATACCTAGGAATCCAACTTACAAGGGATGTGAAGGACCTCTTCAAGGACAACTACAAACCACTGCTCAACAAAATAAAAGAGGATACAAACAAATGGAAGAACATTCCATGCTCATGGGTAGGAAGAATCAATATCGTGAAAATGGCCATACTGCCCAAGGTAATTTACAGATTCAATGCCATCCCCATCAAGCTACCAATGACTTTCTTCACAGAATTGGATAAAACTACTTTAAAGTTCATATGGAACCAAAAAAGAGCCCACATCGCCAAGTCAATCCTAAGCCAAAAGAACAAAGCTAGAGGCATCACACTACCTGACTTCAAACTATACTACAAGGCTACAGTAACCAAAACAGCATGGTACTGGTACCAAAACAGAGATATAGATCAATGGAACAGAACAGAGCCCTCAGAAATAACGCCACATATCTACAACTATCTGATCTTTGACAAACCTGACAAAAACAAGAAATGGGGAAAGGATTCCCTATTTAATAAATGGTGCTGGGAAAACTGGCTAGCCATATGTAGAAAGCTGAAACTGGATCCCTTCCTTACACCTTATACAAAAATCAATTCAAGATGGATTAAAGACTTAAACGTTAGACCTAAAACCATAAAAACCCTAGAAGAAAACCTAGGCATTACCATTCAGGACATAGGCATGGGCAAGGACTTCATGTCTAAAACACCAAAAGCAATGGCAACAAAAGATAAAATTGACAAATGGGATCTAATTAAACTAAAGAGCTTCTGCACAGCAGAAGAAACTACCATCAGAGTGAACAGGCAACCTACAAAATGGGAGAAAATTTTCCCAACCTACTCATCTGACAAAGGGCTAATATCCAGAATCTACAATGAACTCAAACAAATTTACAAGAAAAAAACAAACAACCCCATCAAAAAGTGGGCGAAGGACATGAACAGACGCTTCTCAAAAGAAGACATTTATGCAGCCAGAAAACACATGAAAAAATGCTCATCATCACTGGCCATCAGAGAAATGCAAATCAAAACCACAATGAGATACTATCTCACACCAGTTAGAATGGCAATCATTAAAAAGTCAGGAAACAACAGGTGCTGGAGAGGATGTGGAGAAATAGGAACACTTTTACACTGTTGGTGGGACTGTAAACTGGTTCAACCATTGTGGAAGTCAGTGTGGCGATTCCTCAGGGATCTAGAACTAGAAATACCATTTGACCCAGCCATCCCATTACTGGGTATATACCCAAAGGACTCTAAATCATGCTGCTATAAAGACACATGCACACGTATGTTTATTGCAGCATTATTCACAATAGCAAAGACTTGGAACCAACCCAAATGTCCATCAATGATAGACTGGATTAAGAAAATGTGGCACATATACACCATGGAATACTATGCAGCCATAAGAAATGATGAGTTCATGTCCTTTGTAGGGACATGGATGAAATTGGAAATCATCATTCTCAGTAAACTATCACAAGAACAAAAAACCAAACACCACATATTCTCACTCATAGCTGGGAACTGAACAATGAGAACACATGGACATAGGAAGGGGACTATCACACTCTGGGGACTGTTGTGGGGTGGGGGGAGGGGGGAGGGATAGCATCGGGAGATATACCTAATGCTAGATGATGAGTTAGTGGGTGCAGCGCACCAGCATGGCACATGTATACATATGTAACTAACCTGCACAATGTGCACATGTACCCTAAAACTTAAAGTATAAAAAAAAAAAAAGAACCTCAAACAGAGTTCTTAAAACCCAGAAAACTTTGTAACCAGGCCCTTGAGCTGCTTTCTCAGCCCACTCCCACTCTGCTGAGTGCTTTCTCACTTTAATAAATTTCTACTTTCGCTGCTTCATCTCTGCATTTTATTCCTCTGCTACTTTATACATTTTGTTTAATTATTTGTTCAAAACGCCAGGGACCAGGACAACTCATAGTCAAGACCTTCCACTGGTAACAAATTCACCAGCATTGAGTACCTGAGGAGGAGCTTCTTGCTTCATTCTCACGTGATAGAAAGTGGAAGGGCAAGCCAGCCTAAGACCCTCTTTATGCACGGTCTTAATCCCACTCACAACGCAGGGGCCCTGGTGGACTAATTATCTCTTAAAGGTCCTACCTCTTAATACTGTCACATTGGCAATGCCAGAATTCTGGAAAGGGCATATTCAAATCATTGCAGTTTCATTTCAGGTTCATTCATTTAGTCCATCATTCATTTAATAGATTTTGATTGAGTTTCTGCTATGGTCATAGCACAGGCTACAAATACATTTTAACAATATTATAAGAAATTACATTTGGTTTCTGAATTGTAATTTCAGATGGATACACTTAAATTGAAGTGATACTATTTAGGTTAATCAAGTAACTCTTCAAAGTAAAGAATACTAGCAGAATTTATGGAATTATGAAGAGAAATCAACAGAAAATTTAAATATTAAAACTTGCAGATAATTCACTGTTGCCCTAAAAACTAACATGTCAATTATAAATTATTTATTGATTTGAACTATTGAATTAGATTAGATTATAATATACATATTTAAAGTCCTTTCACAGTAAAACATACATGAGGATAAATAAATCTATTATTATGTATAAATGCATATTGAGAAGACTTCAGTTACACTGCAAATGAAACTGTTTGAACCTAAATTCAAAGTGTTCCAATAATATTATCAAATTGAATCTTCACACAAAACTCAGTAGTAAGTTATCTGAGTTTCAATATACAGCTTCAGATACATTGTGTTCTTTCTAGTAATCTCCATTGTATTCTATTGCTGAATACTAAAGCCACTTTTGACTAAAAAGCCAGGTCTTTTATACCTGCTATTGTTTCAAAAAGTTTAAATAATGGCTGGGCAGGGTGGCTCATGTCTGTAAATCTCAACACTTTGGGAAACTGAGGCAGGAGGATTGCTTGAGTCCAGGAGTTTAAGACCAGCCTGGGAAGCATAGTGAGATCCCCATCTCTATGAAAAATCGAAATTAGTTGGGCATAATGGCATGTGCCTATAGTCACAGCTATTCAGGAGGCTGAAGAGGGAGAATCCTTTTAACACAGGAGAGAGAGGTTTCAGTGAGCTGCAATTGCACCACTGTGCTCAGCCTGAGTGACAGAGTGAGACTGTGTCGCAATAAATAAATAAATAAATAAATAATGCTTATTAAATTAATTTATATTCAAAATGTATTTTAAAACATCTTATGCTTTAATTGTCTTAATTAACTATGGTTAGACGAATAAACGGTTTATAACTAAAGAATAAACTGAAAATTATAAATATCTATAATTCAGTAAATGTGGGTGTTAGATGATGTAGATATAAAGTTAAGACCCTACTTTCATACATAGGATGCTTTCAATA
The DNA here is from genome assembly GCF_000001405.40 of Homo sapiens. Lineage (NCBI taxonomy): Eukaryota > Metazoa > Chordata > Mammalia > Primates > Hominidae > Homo > Homo sapiens. The sequence goes on from NC_000004.12 coordinate 132,487,763, forward strand.
TAGAGGACAATAATAGGAACATGATATATAAGATAAAAGAAAGAGCCCAAATGGAAATTTAAATTTAATAAAATGGGAATATTAAGGTTTAGAAATAATAATTCATTAGTTATTACTCACTTACATCAGCAAACAGATATTGAGAACTCATTTATTCCAGTTTTCTCAGATGCAAAAATGCTCTTAAAATTGTCAGTTTGTTATGAAAGAGAAAAAAGTTATATTAAAGAGCAATATTTAATGATACAGTGATGTAAAATATATTGATGCAACTTAGAAGATGTAATATTGAAACGATATTTTGAAGGATAAATTGGAAGACTTTGACAAGTGGGAAGATTGGAATGTGTATTCAAATAAAAAAGATGTTAACATTGATAAAGGTTTCGATAAGCTATTTGAGTTCTATTCAAAGAAAACTTGGCTTTATTTTGTAGCTAATTGTGGATTATTGTCAATAATTATCAGTCAAATTACTTAAACTGGATAGTAATAATCTCAGAAAGTCAGAAAGGGTATTTCTTTCTTTTTAAAAAAAAAAAGAACAGGCAAATGAGGATTTTAGATTTACTTTAGTCATTAACATATTATTCAGTTAAATGCAACTTATCTTATTTTTTTAATTTGGCAAAATCAAATAAAATGCCCCTTTAATAATACTTTCAATATATAAAACTTGCCTGTTTTATTATGCAATTATCAACAGAGTGAAGAAAAAGAAAACATAGTCACCTCAATTGATCCAGAAAAAGAATTTGACAAACCTTAATACCCTTTCATGATTAAAAATTACTTTACAAACTACAAATAGAAGGAAACAACTTCAACATAATAAAGGCTATATATGAAAAACACACAGCTAACATCAAACTCGATGGGAAAAGACTGAAAGCTTTTGCTCTGGGATCAAGAGCAAGACAAAGATTTCCACATCTCTCATTTCTATTTAACATAGGACTGGAAATGCTAGCCAGAGCAATAAGGCAAGAAAAAGAAATAATATGCATTGAAAGTGAAAAGAAAGAAGGCTTTTTCACAAATGGTATGGTCTTACGTGTAGAATATGCAAAAGAGTAGACACACACACTCACGTAAACACACACAGACAGCCTGTTAGGACTAATAAAAATATTCAGGAAAGTTGCAAGATATAAAATCAACTCTCAAAAAAAAGTTGAAGTTGCATTTCTCTATACTAACAATGAACAATCTGAGAAGAAAATTAAAGAAAAAATCCCATTCACAACAGCATCTAAAAAAACAACCTTAGAAATAAGTTTAGCCAAGGAGGCAAATCTTATACTAAAAAACTATAAAATGTTGCTGAAACATTTTAAAGACATGAATAAAGAAAAAGATATGCTGTGTTTATGAGTTGGAGGAATTAATGTTGTTAAGATGTCAATAATAGAACACATACAAAAATTAAATAAAAGTAAAATAAAACAAAATAATCTGTTAAAAAGTCAATACTGCACAAAGTGAGCTACAAATTCAGTGCAATCTTGATCAAAATCCCAATGATGTTTTTTGCAGAAAGACAAAAATCCATTCTAAGATTCATATGGAATCTCAAGAAACCCAAAACAGCCAGAGCAATCTTGAGGAAAGAGAATAAATTCCAAGTTCTCATCCTACCTGATTTCAAAACTTACCTCAAAGCTACAATTATCAAAACAATGTGGTACTGGTATGAAGACACACATGTAGACCACTGAAATAGAGCAGAGATTCCAGAAATAAACACTTGTATATATGGTCAAATGACTTTTTTTTTTTTTTTCTTGAGATGGAGTCTCACTCTGTTGCCCAAGGTGGAGTGCAGTGGTGCGATCTTGGCTCACTGCAACCTCCACCTTATGGGTTCAAGTGATTCTCATGCCACAGCCTTTCAAGTAGCTGGGTTTACAGGCACCAACAACCATGCCCAGCTAATTTTTGTATTTTTAGTAGAGAGGGGGTGTCACCATGTTGGTCAGGTTGGTTTCAAACCCCTGACCTCAGGTGATCCACCCACCTCGGCCTCCCAAAGTACTGGGATTACAGGTGTGAGCTACTGTGCCCAGCTCAAATGTTTTTTTAAGGGTGCCAGGCTGATTTAATGAGATAAGAACACTCTTTTCAACAAATGGTGCAGGGAAACGAAATGTCTACAACATCCCCCCCCTCCTTAAATAAAAGTTGGATCTTCACAGTACACCTTAGAGTAAAAATAAATCAAAGACCAAATTGTAAGAGCTAAAACCATGAGACTAAGAAAAATGGAGAAGCTTCATGACATTGAGTGTAGCAGTAATTTTTTAGATATGACAGCAAAGCACAGGTAACAAAAAAATAGATAAATTTAGCTATACCAAAATTAAAAATCTTGTGTATCAAAGGACATTATGAATAAAATAAAAAGACAATCCATAGAATAAGAGAAAATATTTGCAAATTATATATCTGACAAGGAGCTAATTTCCAGATTATGTAACCAAGTCTTACAACAAAATAAGAAAAACAAATGACTTAATTTTAAAATTAGCAAATAACTTGAATATACATTTTTCCAAAAAGATACACAAATGGCCAATAAGCACATAAAAAGATGTTCAGTTTCACCAATTATTAGGGAAATTCAAATCAAAACCATGATGCGATGCCACTTCACACCTGTTAGGATGGCTGTTACTAAAAATCAAAAAAGAATATATGAGGGGTAGAGGAGAATATAGATTAACTGAAACCCTTGTGCATTGCTGGTAGAAATGTAAAATAGTATAGCTGCTGTGGAAAACAGTATGACTGTTCTATGAAGAAAATTAAAACAGAATTACCATATAATCCAACAGTTCCAATTCATGAGGTGCAATTAAAAGCATTCAAAGCAGAGAAACACATATTTGTACACCCATATGCATGTTAGCATTATTCACGATAGTCAAAATAGGGAAGCAACCTCAGTGTCTATGAACAGACGGATGGATGAACAAAACATGAAATAATCATACAATGGAATGTTATTTACCTTAAAAAGGAAGGAAGTTTTGACATGTGCTACAACATGAATGAAACTGAAGACATTATGCAAAGTCAAATAAACTAGTCACACAAGGACGAATGCTGTATAATTCCATTTATGTGAGACATCTTGGGTAGTTAAATTCATAGAGACAGAAAGTCAAATGTTGGTTGTCAGAGACAAGGGGTAGAAAGAGAAAATTTTTATTTCATGGATACAAAATTTTAATTTGGAAATATGAAAAAGTTCTACAGATGGGTAGTGCCAATGTTTTCAAGACACTGAGTACACTTAAGAACTGTACACAGAACTATACAGTTAAACAGGGTTAGTATGGTAAACGTTATGAAATGTATACTTTGCCACAGTAAAAATTAATTAATTTAGCTCTGTATATGTTCCAACAGATATATACCCCTAGTATACCACCCAATCTCTAATTAAAGCAGGTCAGGTATTATGGCATCCATTGTCCAAGTAATACCTTATTTAGTTGGATTTGTAGCAACTTTACAGAAATGAAACCTCAGTATTTTGTTCCAGACCCTAATATCCATTCCAGGTAATATTAACTTCAAGCTGGAACTTGAGTAGTTATAAGATGCATATTCAACCTTATACAAATGTTTCCTGGAAGCAAATCACCAGGACAGAAAATAAACCGTATTTATCATGAATCCTTACTTACAAATACAAAAATAATTAAAACTTAGAGGTTTTTTTAGGTCTATAAAAATTTATTTGATTCTAAGTGCAAATACATTATCTCATGCTTTGTGTTTAGGATTTGATCTAGGTGCATCTTAATAAAGCTAATAAAAAGTGGCTATTTTTTACCACTCAAATATGGAAAACTTTGTGCCAGAGAGATATCCCAAAGGAGTGATTATCATATGATAACCATATGTTCTCCTCTGTCTTACTGTTAATTAAATTAATTTATTATGTAGTCTTTCCCTAAGTAGACTTGATTTAATGTGCTGCATGTAATTAGTAGCTCAAGAAATGGAGATGAGATTATTTTACTCATGGTTACAAGAAACCATGATCCAAAGAACTTTGTAATAATTTAAGTGAAAAGATATTTTTATTCTTTTTATTTTTAAATCAAACTGATTTTTCTTGAAAACTATAGCACTGGAAGAAAATATTTGGGTCTAGATTCTACTAAACAGATATAATTCATACTTGTCTTAAAGCTGCTTGAAGCAACAGAAGCTGTTTGGGAATTTACAATGTAATTTATTATATTAATATAAATGGTGTCAGGCCTCTGAGCCCAAGCCAAGCCATCGCATCCCCTGTGACTTGCATGTATACGACCAGATGGCCTGAAGTAACTGAAGAATCACAAAAGAAGTGAAAAGGCCCTGCCCGGCCTTAACTGATGACATTCCACCATTGTGATTTGTTCCTGCCCCACCTTAACTGAGGGATTAACCCTGTGAATTTCCTTCTCCTGGCTCAGAAGCTCCCCCACTGAGCACCTTGTGACCCCCGCCCCTGCCCACCAGAGAACAACCCCCTTTGACTGTAATTTTCCATTACCTTCCCAAATCCTATAAAACGGCCCCACCCCTGTCTCCCTTCCCTTGACTCTCTTTTCGGACTCAGCCCACCTGCACCTAGGTGATTAAAAGCTTTATTGCTCACACAAAGCCTGTTTGGTGGTTTCTTCACACGGACGCGAATGAAAAATGGCATATATATTTTACTTATTGATTGACAACTTAGGGATTAACAGCACTGGTTCTAAAGCCAAATCTCCTAGATTAGAATTTTAGCTCTGCTACCTACTACCTGTATGATTTTTTAAAAATGTATATCATCTATACAAGACTAAGTTCCTGAAAATGTAGGTAATATAATGCCGATATATTAAAAGTGCTGTGAAAGATCAGATGAGTTACATATAACAGTAAGAATAGCTACCTGGCACATACTGGCACATAGTAACAATTAATGATTGTCATTATTGTATTAGTATTACTTTTTTTTTTTTTTTTTTTTTTGAGATGGAGTCTTGCTCTGTCACCCAGGCTGGAGGGCAATGGTGCAATCTTGGCTTACTGCAACCTCTGCCTCCCGGGTTCAAGCAAATCCCCTGCCTCAGCCTCCGGAGTAGCTGGGATTACAGGCGCCTACCACCATGCCCAGCTAATTTTTTTCTATTTTTAGTAGAGATGGGATTTCACCATATTAGCCAGGATGGTCTCGATCTCCTGACGTCGTGATCCACCCGCCTTAGCCTCCCAAAGTGCTGGGATTACAGGGGTGAGCCACTGCACCCAGCGAGTATTACTATTTAAACTGCTTTACTGAGTCACATACTTTTGTTATATTTTTGTATTGAATATATCCACCTACATATGCAAGAGAATAATACAAATTAAAACATTTAAACCAAATTATCTTGACGTGCCTTCAAAACGGATGTTTACATCTTAATATTAAAATGTATTTATTAAGGAATAATTACTATATTGATTTAATCTTTGATCATTTTACTTTTGATGTGTTTTTAATGTTTCAAGACCAGAATTATATCAAAAGGTAGATTAAATATGTTTTACACTCAGGCTATTGATGAAATAGTTCTTCTTTGTGGGAGGATTTTAAATAAATCTCTTTCTGATTCAAGTCCAGGACTTTTTTGTTGAATAAGCTGGACTTCTCACCCAGGTTTATTTCAGGTATTATACTATTTTATCTAAATGATCATCAATGCCTTTTGCAATTCTGATTACCCAGGGGATTACCTGTCTGACAAGCAAACCTCCTGCTAAGAAGGAAATTATGCTGCAGCTGCACCAATTGTCAAGATTTATTTTCTTAGAGCCTTACTGTGGTAAAATTTGTCTTTCATAATCTCAAACATTATATTAGTAAAATACATGTGGAAAATTGAAATATATGTTTTTGTAGTATCATAATCCCTATAGCACCTCCTTGTGTCAGCTCTATATTTAATTCTATAAAGAAGATACAATAGGGACATATAGTTCTACCAGAAGTTAAATATATGCATATCTTAACTGTTAAAACAAAAATACCATAGTTAAACTTCTAAGTAAAATATAGGATTTTCACAAAAATTTTAGCCAAAACATGATTTTAAGGACATAGTAGTTATTTTCTTCCAGCAAATTGTGAGCTCCATACTATATGTGATAATCAAGCAGACTACTTTCAGCAAAATTGTTTTTAATCACCAATTTAGAAACACCAATAAAACCTTCAAAACTACTAACATAAAAATTTATATAATTATAAGTTTTTCTAATTCTCATTGTCATGTACCAAGAATGTTTATACTAGTATTATATGTCATTGTTAAAATAAAAATGTCAAATATAAGCCAATTTTTGCTTTTACAATCAACCATTGACATGAATATTGATCTTAATGAGTATGTAGTCACCACAGTCCCTAAACAATTTATAAATCTTATAAACTCTTTAATCTATTACATAAAATGTTATAAACTTAAAATATTTTAAGCCAACTCATAAAGCAGTTTTCTGTCTTTTTTTCCCTAATGTTAACAAGCTATTTTGTTCCTTTAAAGGTATATAAATATTTTTTCTTTAAGGAATATAATGAAAATTTATGCCTAATAATATTATTTATGTATTTATTTATTATTATACATAGATTTCTATTATAATCCTCAAGGAAATATATGCATATATTATTATTACTCCTATTATATTCCTTAAAGGAAGCATAATAAAATACTAACAGTATGTTAATGTATACTTTCCAAAGAGGTGAACATGTAATGACTTACTAACAATTAAAAATGTAATAAATATATGCACCAGTAGCAATTAAAGAAAAATTTTTGGTTGGTGGAAGTGTAAATACAAATACAATTATATTTTCTACCCAATAAGAATTTTGGAACAAGTACAGAGGTTTAATGGTTTCATCAGGAAGCCAGTTACTTTTTTTCTGTCTGTTTGGCTTCATTTAGAATATGCCTACTGTTCTCACTGTCTACCGATTACAGACAAGAAAAATTAGAAGGGGCCAAAGATTTGCAAACTATACCATAGTTTTCAAAGCTTTTTTGCAGTTTATTTTTTTAATTCATCATATATCTTGGAGTTTTCTATAAGTCCTCATAGAATTGTCTCACTCTAAAATTACTGCAAATCATACTGTGATATGTGAGCATCATTTGATGTGCCATATATTGTTTGACATTTATATTGCATCAAATATTTAGCTATTATAAACAAATTAATAATTACACTTGCACTTTTGTTTTCTGCATATATGTAAGTACATCTATAGGAAAATTACCTAGAACCTATATTGCTATGTAAAACTGTGTGTATATTATACTTTGATAAACATTTAAATTACTATCCATAGTGACTTAAAGTTTATATTTTCACCAATCGTATATTAAAGTGTCAGCTTATCAGCACTACAACATTATTTTTACAACACATTTTGATTTTCACAAATCAGGGAAGTCACAAACAGTGCCTTGTGTATAGCTTTGCTATTTGCCTTAGAAGTAGGTGTCAGGCCTCTGAGCCCAAGCCAAGCCATCGCATCCCCTGTGACTTGCAGGTATATCGCCCAGATGGCCTGAAGTAACTGAAGAATCACAAAAGAAGTGAATATGCCCTGCCCCGCCTTAACTGATGACATTGTCTTGTGAAATTCCTTTTCCTGGCTCCCCCTGGCTCAAAAGCTCCCCCACTGGTTACCTTGTGACCCCGACTCCTGCCTACCAGAGAACAACCCCCCTTTTTCCTTTACCTACCCAAATCCTATAAAACGGCCCCACCCCTATCTCCCTTCGCTGACTCTCTTTTCAGACTCAGCCCACCTGCACCGAGGTAATTAAAAGCTTTATTGCTCACACAAAGCCTGTTTGGTGGTCTCTTCACACAGACGCGCATGAAAGTAGGTACCTGCCTTTTCCTAAACAAGTCCTGAGTACCTAGATCTACAGTCCATTAACATATCTCTTTAATTGTCTGTGTTTCCTCTTAATTACCTTGTTTTGTCTCAATGTCTGGGTTTTTTTTTTTTGAGGAGTTTAGCTCTTTTTGCCCAGGCTGGAGTGCAGTGGTGTGATTTCAGCTCACTGCAACCTCCACCTCCCAGGTTCAAACAATTCTATTGCCTCAGCCTCCCCAGTAGCTGAGATTACAGGCTCCTCCCACCACACCTGGGTAATTTTTTGTATTTTTAGTAGAGACGGGGTTTCACCATGTTGGCTGGGATGGTCTCAAACTCCTGACCTCAGGTGACCCACCTGCCTCAGCCTCCCAAAGTGCTGGGATTACAGGTGTGAGCCACTGCATTCAACCTCACTGTCTGCTCTGTTGCCATGTTAGCTGCGGCAGGTATCTGAGTTACCTGCCCCAAATCCACATGTATCTGCAGCAACCTTAATTCTTGCCTCCTCAGAAGAAAGAATTTGGCTGATGCGCATAAAGCAGAAAAAGAGACCAAGGCAAGTTTTAGAGCAGGAGTGACATTTTATTAAAAAGCTTTAGAGTAGGAATGAAAGGAAAGGAAAGTACACTTGGAAAAGCGCCAGGTGGACATCTTGGAGGACAAGGGCACGGTTTGACCTTTTGGGGTTTTATACATTGGTATACTTCCAGGGTCTTGTATCCCTTCTCCCCTTAGTCTTCCTTTGGGTGGGCTGTCCGCATGCACAATGGCCTCCTGGAGCTTGGGACAGGAGCATGTGCAGTGTGTTTACTTGAGTTCTACACAGGCTCACTTGAGGCGTTCTTCCCTTTACTGGTAGAATGTCCCCAGAAGGTCATATAACAATTAAACTCCACCCTTTTGCCTCTTAGTGTGCATGTATGAGCCCACTTGCCCAACTGCTGAGATCTTATCAGGAAGCTGTTGATCACCAGTTTCAGTTTTTTTCCATCTATAGGGAGACTGCCTTTCCCTGGCATTGGCTGCGGTCAATCGTTATTTTAAAGGGACAGTTAACAACTACCTGGCCATCACCTGATGGTTGTCTGACATTCCTGGTGGTGAGGGGCCCTTTCCTGCCCTGCTCATGGCTGGCTAGCTATGAACTGTAACAGACATATGTTCCACCTCTGCAACCTAGTCCTTGGGTCTGCCTTGATCACCATCTCACTACTGTATACAATTCTGTATCTTTATAGCATGTCACTGCTAATGTGGCTAAAAGCTCATGCTAGATTTAAATAAAATATCAAATCAAACACTGTTCACATAAACTTCAGCTGATAAGAGCATATATCCTCTCTTTGGTGTTCTGTTCTCTCCATACTGCTCTCTAACATTTATGTCAAGAGTGCTTTCTCCCGCTACTACTTTTTAAAAATGTTCTCATAAGCAAGAATATAACAAATTATTCCACTCTGAGACAAACATGGTGAAGGGACCTCATTTGACAATCAATAAGAAGTCGATTTAAGACAATATTTTAGCTACATTTTCAAGTTTTTGCAATTAGTGTCTCCCTTATCTGAGCCATGCCAATTGTTAAGTATCTGTTTCTTTAATATATATTATTACTGAGAATACAGTCTGTTGCAGACGTCACACCATTCTATTTAATATTAATACTGTACTAAATTATCAGTAAAAAAATGTAGTTATGTATTTTATCTATTGTTCTCAAATGTGCTTACTTAAATTTTATTTTTGCCCTTGGTCGGATAATCAACCAATAGGTCCTTCTCTGTCCTATTAGTTCCACATTTAACATACACAAACATTTTCTACAACAAACATTATCTAATATGTTTGAAGTGCTGTCATTTTAGTGATGAAAGAAAATAAGAAGAATCTGGAAGTGTTACTAAAGTGAAGAGATGTGACTGTAGCTGCTTTGACCTAAAAAGATGCATCGTCCCGAAACTACTGTTCAAGCTTCTTTCCTCACAGTACAATAAGATCACAACTCTATGGTAACAGGAAAAACGATTAATTGATTGAAAATAAGCAACACATTGCTACTTCTCTTGAAATGGAAGTCTGAATCACAAGAGAAAACCAGACCAGTGCCACCTTTCTTTGATCCAAATGATTCTGGAAGCAGATAGATATAAGCAGACACCTTTTACAGCATCATGCCAGGAAGGTTAACTACTTTTTATGCTTCAAAGTCACTCTCACTGTCTAGAGAACATCTTGCCTAAATTGGAAAGGGCACATCTTTTTGGTTTAGCTGTTGTTGTCTGATTAATAGAGGAAGTCAAGCTAGTTGTTTTTGTTGTGACTTTTAACCATTTATGGTTTATTATTTTACATTCTGTATTGTCAAATAAACAGCTATATCCATTTGGTTCATATAGAGCCTAAAAATTAAATGAAAGTTGTAATAAAATTATTATAATTTATTATGCAATATACATTCATTTGATATACAAAATATAAATAGAATTATAAAACATTTCAATGCTTCTTTATTCCCCTTTTTGGAGAACGGGGAAGGTGGGTTGCTAGTCTTTTAATTTGGATTGTTACTACCAAGGAAGAAATAAAACATTTATGGTATTTATAAATAGGGAAGAAGTGAAAGTTTTGAATGTAGTATTCTGCATTCAAACCTTTTACTTCTTTCAATCTGGCAAGTAAAATCCTTTACTTTGGGTTGAGTGAAACTGAGAGCTAGTAGGTAAAACTGTTAGTGCCATTGTGGGTGGTTCCTTTAGTGATTGCTGCTGCAGGCACTATCAGATGAGCTTAACAAGGAGATATTCTGCTTCTTTAAATACATCCTCCAAATCCTGGACATTGTAATCATTCTGTGTTCATTTTTCTAGTTGCAGTTTTAAGATGGCAGTCCAGATCCTGACCGCATTTTAACATTTATTGTATTCAAAGATCAAGGAAAAAAAAAAGATGTTTTTCATAACTACCTCACAATAGAAGTTGTTTAGTTTTCAGATGTCCAGTGATAGAGACAATAGCCTTCAGTCGGCCCAAGAGTAGTCATAAAAGTATATTAAATTTTAAGTTACAGTAAAAAAATTACCACTGACTTTGAGGTTTAAAACAATATTTATTTATTAGCTTTCAGTTCTATAGGTCAGAAGTCTGAGAGGAGTTATTGGATTCTCCCCTTAGGATCACACAAGGCCTGAATCAAAGTGTCAGTGCCTCGGGCCTTATCCAAGGAGCTGAAAAAGAATCTCTTTTCAAGTTCATTGAGGTTGTTGGTCAGATTCAATTCCTTGGGATCACTGACTGAAAAATTCATTTCTTTGTTTGTGACCAGGGCCTTCTCTCAGCTCTAAATGCTCAAACATTTCTTGACACATGGCTCCTCTGTCTTCAAAATCAACAATGGTGCATCCAGTGCTTCAACCTCATGCCTGGGATCTGACTTCCTCTTTACCTTGCTTCTTTAATACCAGAATATGTTATAGCCTTCTCAATTATTCCTTTTATGTCTAGAATAATTCTGGAAGTGGAGTTTCTTTTATATTGGATTTGAGAATAAACACACCTCAACAAATCTCCCTTTGAAAGCTTTCCATTGATACATAATAATTGTACATATTTATGGGGATCTTATGATATTTGATTACATATATACAATGTGTAATGATCAAATAATCTTTGACATCTTGGCATTGGAAACATACCAAAACTTCTCTTCTAGCTATTATGAAATATAAAACATATTGTCGTTAACTGTAGTTACTCTACTGGGCTGTTGGATACTAGAATTTATTCCTCATATTTAACTGGATATTTGTACTCAATGATCAACCTCCCTTCACCCCTGCCTCTGCTGACTCTTCCCACTGTCTGGTAACTGTTAATATCCCTCTCTTTTCTACCTCCATCATATCAATGTTGTTAACTCCCACATATAATACCTGTCTTTCTGTGCCTTGCTTATTTCAATTAACATAATGACCTTCAGTGCCATTCATGTTGCAAATGATAGGAATTTAGTGTTTTTATGGCTGGAAAGCATTATATATATATATTGTGTGTGTGTATGTGTGTGTGTGTATATATATACATATATATATATACATGTTTATTGAAGTGCTATTCATTCACAATAGCCAAAATGTGGAATTAACCTATTTCTCAATCACTAGATGTATGGATAAGAAAATGTATGTGTGTGTGTGTATATATATGTACACATATATACACATATACATACATATACACATATACACATACATATATACACATATACATACATATATACACACACATACATTTTCTTATCCATACATCTAGTGATTGAGAAATAGGTTAATTGCACATTTTGTCTGTTGTGAATGAATAGCACTTCAACAAACATGGTGGTACAGGTATTTCTTTAATATATTGATCTACTTTCCTTTGAATAAATTACCTCTAGAGGAATTGCTGAATTGTATGATAGTTTTTAGTTTTTTGAGAAACCTTCATATAGTTTTTCTTAATGGTTGTACTAAATTTATATTCCCACCAGCAGTATATAAGATTTCCTTTTTCTGTACATCCTTGCCAGCATTTGCTGTCTTTTGTCTTTTTGGTAATAACCACACTAACTGGTTAAGAGGATATTACATTGCGGTTTTGATTTTCATTTCCCTGGTGATTAGGCATGTTGAGCATTTTTTAAGATACCTGTTTGTAATTTGTATGTCTTTCTTTCTTTTTTTTTTTTGAGAAACGTCTATTCCAATTTTTTTCCCATTCTTAAACTGAATTATCTGTGATTTTTGACTTTTGGCAGTTTGACTATGATGTGCCTTGGAGAAGACATTTTGAGTTGTACTATTTTGGTGATCTTAGAGCTTCCTGTATCTGGATGTCTATATCTTTTGCAGGACTTGGACATGTTTTAGCTATTATGGTGCTAAATAGGTTTTCTATATCTATGCCAATTTCTTCTCTCTCTGGGTCACTTTATGGAGTCCCATATATCACACAGGATTTCATTCTTTTCTTTTTTTTCTGAGTTATTTCAAAAGGCCTATCAAGTTCTAAAATTAATTCTTCTGTTTGACAATTAAAACATGAGAATTGTCACTGTTCATTTGTTATATTATATGGTAAGTACTGCAGCAAAATTATTTCTAAATTCATTTCCAGAGCTGAGTGGTTTCTAGAAAATTCTAAGATATCCTTGAGGTTCTAAAGCTCGTGCTTTAGAGCTGGTGAATCTCATCTCTGACTTTTGCAGATGAGATATCCTGAGGCTACTATACTTTTGCAGTAATATAAAAGGTTATTAATATTATTATTATTTCTTTTAGAGTTGAGGTCTCTCTCATAAGAGTAACTATATATTATATCCCGCCCCTGACTGGACTTCAGGAATTTGGTCACGGATGTGGTGGACAATCTAATGCCTAAGTGTCTCATCCCGACCCCTAACCAGGTGTGCCTCTCACAGAAAAGTTGTTTATAATGGCAGGCCCTGTGTGAACTGTGTAGTTTATTCTTACCAAGACAGTTATTCTCTAGAGGTTCCTTGACCAGAAAATATCTTAGGCGTGTTATTCAGGTGATACAAAGAGAGGAGGCAAGCCTTGCTTCTGCCATGAGAAAGTCTAACTTACATTCAAGGCAGATGCTGAGTAAACATAAAATTATAGAAATTCACTATGAAATCTAGAAATAAAAAAGGTAAATGGATTTTACATGAACCCTCTAGGAAAAAATACACTGACCTCTGGAATAGGAGTGCAGATATTTGCATTTATACCAAGTATTCGTCTTACTAACATTTTCAGAAATTAAATTTTGAGGATAATTATCTTAAAAACTGTGGAAACTTGATAGTTATTAAAAGGAATAAAGGATCATGTTTCTGTGATTCTAATTTACAGATTATTATCACAGTCATTTTGTTCTCAATCATGAGTTTGGGGTAAATATATATTTATCTTTGTACTGAAAAATCCATGTTTTAAAATGTTGATGTTTTTGAAAAAAAACTACAGAAAAAATAAAATATATACTTTTCAAATTTTACATCATGGCAAGTCATCTTAATATCTTACCATTTATTTTTAAGGTCTATACATATTTTCTTTAAAATTCTAGTTTACATTTAGCTGTTTACTTTTTTCAATAATGAAATATTGAAAATCATACATCTTTCTCTTTTGGATACTAAAATACAAAACTGCACCACACAAAGGTGATTATTTTCATTCTTTCACAAAATTACTTGAAGCCAAAATTTGTTATTTTCACTTTGGTTTCTCAGTTAGTTTTAGTTAATACAAAACTGTTAATTTAACATTGTGCCGTTTGACATTTCCCTGAGTACTATTTGAGAAGTGGATGTCTGACTCAACACTTCCTAACAGGAAGATAGACAACTTCATTTCAGGAGCTTCATGCATATCATAATTTCTTCTGCTGAGCTATCTATTACCCTGTAGGATCATAAGTTATTTCTACATTATGTAAAATGCAGCATGCATCAAAGGTGACATATGCCATTTTGGGGCTTTATTATAGTTCATCTAACAAATTGTAAGGACAGTCAAGTCAAAATGAGATTTCAGAATGCAAAATAGCATTCAAGCTAGTGACTCACCTGATGTGCTATTCTATTATATGCTTGTCCTGTTCCATTGTGGGGATGCCTCCTTAGAGAGAAATATGAAAAGTATGAGTCAGTTTTTCTCTCACTAAGTGCTACCTGCACATTTGTGATTCTGTAATCTCAATTTAAGTGTCTTTTGCAAAAGGAGTCATGTCCTAGGAGGATGCATACTATCATCAGCAAGAAAAATACATAGTTAACCACAAACTGTGCTCTTCACATATGGCTTAACATATTTTTAATACCTTTGGGTGAAAATAGGTGTTTCGTTTCTATGAGGCTGCATCTTTTGATGTGTTTCAGGCATATGGTTAAGAGTAAAAATACTCCCTTCTTAGCACGGTAACAGATTAAATTTAAAATAGTGCTTTCAAACAAATCCTTAGATATGGCAACATATTTGCAAGCAGCAGCCCTAAAGGAAAGCTTTTTCATTTCCTCTTTAAAACACTCATGTTTGGCCAATCCTTTATTATACGTGTGTATGTGTGCACGTGTGTGCATGCACATGTGTGTAAAGAATGCTATTCTATAGTGATATAATTAAAAAGTAAATAGTAAATGAGATAATCTTGTTCTTGTGAAACTCACATTTACAGGGAAAAAAGTGAACACATTTCATTTAAAGCAACACCACTGAAACAACTGTGCAAAGAAAATAAAAATAATAATAATTATCTTTTTAAGTGGTAAAGAATGTAAACAGAAAATACAAGATGAAGTGCTAGTAAGTATAGCCATGACAAGGTTTACTGAGTGAATTTTGAACTGCTTGAAATAGAAATGTGCTAAAATTTCTCATATAAAAAGATAAGGAATTAGATTTCAGAAAAACTAGAATATGTTCATATAATCAGTTTCCATCTCCATTTTTCTTATGATTCATGTGATTAATCTTTCAATATTTCTTTTCTATCTCTTGAAGTCTGTCATTTTGGATTGCATATGAACTAATACAAGCCAACACAGCCTCGCTAATATTAAAGCTCAAATCCCCAGTGTAATTGAATGGACTTAGTTTCCACATTCACACCAAATTTACAGAAGAAATAATGTGTTTCATATTTGGTCCTTCCTTGGTGGTATATCTTAGCAATGGAACAATCATTTGTGGTTAGGGTAATAAGATAATCTACAAAAATCCAGTACTACTTGGTCAACTCCTTCGTCAGGGAATATGGGTAATTGGCCTCTAAAGAGGGTTTGGGTAAGAAACCAATGTCTGGATTTGATAGTACAAATAGCAACATGGAAGAAATATAAAATGGACTTATTCAACTGAGTCCAGTTGAGCCAGATGGAAGAGACAATTTGCTTCTCTCTTCTAGGGAAAGTGTTCATTGTTCAGTGTTTTATAAGTGGATGCATTTTAGCTTTCCTATATCTAACTCTACATCTAACTTGTATTAGATTAAATTAAACACCTGAAACATACTAGGTATTTCATAAATGTTTCTTAGAATAAATAATGAATAAAGTTCTACTCTTTCATCAAAAAATACATATATGTGGTAGTGAGTATGCCAAATGAATTGAGGTAATAAGAATAAAATATGGTGCCATGAGAAAAGAAAGGGAAAGTGGTTTGGAGTAAAGTTCCTGTATCTCGTGGATTTGAGTTGCATGGGGCCTACGGAAGCTAATGATAAAAACAATAACAACTACACCCATAAAACCAGTATATAGATAATGCATTGCTGGACGGTGAGTTTTGACTTTTTTGTTTAGTTTTGATTGTTTATAGTGGTTTAAGATAAAGACAAAGGAGAAGGAAGAAAAAATAGAAGATAATTTCCAATAAGAAATTTTGGGCAAGGTAAATATATCTTATAACATTTTCCCATCTATAGGATAATTTCATATTTGAGTACAAGGATCATCTAATTATGTTAGAAGATTCCAAGTATACAGATAGCAATAGCTCCAATAACGATACTTTAATTTATTATGATGCTTAAGTAATTTCGATTATTATTCTTTCCATGATCTCAGTTAAAGTAGTTTTGACCATATATATATCACCTTTGAAATAAACATGACTAGACTACTCCAAGCATCATCTTTATAACACAATAGTTACTTCTAAGAGGCCACAGAATAACTATACTCATCTGTCAATAACCTTCTGCCCTCATCTATCAGTTTATTTATGCAATAGACATTTGCTACAACCCGAAGTATTTTACATTTACAAAAGGCAAGCAGAGCAGAATCTCAACGAACCTCATGTCAATCTGTTGTAACCACCAGAATGGACACTTGACAATTACATGTTTGTTCAAATGCACTCTTACCCTGTGCCTTTGCTAATATCTTGCAGATCAAATGGGACTCTGATTCATCAGAGGTCTGTGACTAATGCACCTTCTGTGGAAGGGCAACAGAACATTCAAACTTGCTTTAATACAACACTTATTCAGATAAGTGTCTTCTGAGTTTATTCTCATCCCTCATCCTTGGAAATATCTAAATGACAAAGTGTGCTTATTTTGATGATATTTAAAAAAATACTCCCCAAGCTTCAAATATTAGAATACAATAAATGTTTTGAAACTTAGGGCAGAAAAAAATTGAAAGAGAAAAGCTAGGGAACTAAGCAAGACAGTGTAAGATTAAAGAAAAGAAAACTGGAAAGATTTCTAAGTTCTTTCCTGGGCTCTTTTGTAATAATTTCTATTGTAAAACATATCATATTCAATGGAGAAACAAACAGAAGAGTGATAACTTTGCCAACTACTGAAATATATAATTGCAACCTCTAATATAACTTAGCAATGGGTATATGATTTAGTCTTTAACACTTTTCCACTGAAGTTCCAATGAAGAAAACAAAAACAGGAAAACTCATTGTAAAACACAAAAATTATTTATAATATAAACCTATTTGTAATAATAAATATAGAGCCAACTTTAAAACAAACAACAACAGCAACATATTTGGCTATCTAAAATGAAACAAATCCTGAACTAATTGTTCAACATGGTATTCGTTTTTATGTAGGCTCCCATTGACTACCTCTCCTCCCAGAGAGAAAAGAAGCCAGATTGTACAAATATCTAATTGCTACATAGATGGATTTATTCATAATAAAAACCCATCAAACTCTTAAAATTCCTGTATATTCTATTTCCATTGTAAAATAAAGGTATCAATGCATATAGGATGAACGTGTTTTATCTTACATTAAGTAGTAAACAAACAAGTGGAAAAATAAATTCCTAAACCCAATAAACTACAGCTAAATGCTTACTAGATTTTGAGAGTGTAAGTATTATCCAAAATTAAGAATAGCCATACACTTTGTCCATTTGCAAGCACTGTTTCTATATAGAAGTCTAAGACATATCAAAAAATAAATAAAATGAAAATCTATATGCAGTCCAGCAAAAAATATTACTTATTAAAATTACTAATTACCAGATTCACAAAATCACTTAAAGGGATGCTGGGATTCCCATATCTAGCATCATTGTTGACTGATTTACATTTTTTCATTGAGGAAAAAATAAGCTAAAAATTGGAAATAAGTAATAAAATTACTTAAGTTAATCATTCACATAGGAATATAGAATCCCAGAGCCCAAATCAAGTGAAAGTAGGAATTCTTTTAAGTAAGCAAGTACCCTAAACATCTTTACACTTAAGGCAACCAGGAAAAACTGGTTAACTTGAACCATTTTTTAGATGACTAGATAGGTGTAGACATGGGAGTTAAAGTTTAAGGTTCTTCTCCAATGATGAGAAATCCAGTTAAACACTTATTCCATTAAGCTGACTTTAAATGAGAACACCCTCAGGGAAAAGGTGAACAGCAAAATATAATCCTATTGCACAGAAGTGGTCAGCAAGAAAATTTATCTGTCTTTAATTTGTGGCTAATGTAAACACACACATATACACATACACATGCGCACACACACATACCTTGAATATTCAAAAGCACAGTTTAAGCATCATGTAAAATTAAATAGAATATTCACATGACCAGTGTGGTTTAAAGCGTGGCATTAAACTGTAGTAGTCTGATATAAATAATTCCTCCAGTGATTTGAAAAAGCAAATGCAAATCCTCTCTGAGGAGCATAGCTTCTATTTAGGCCTTAAATAATTACTATAGAAAAATATCATGAGCATTGGCTCAGATTAAATGATTATAAAGATTTATAATCTTTTATATGATTTCAGAACAATAAATGATTATAGAGATTCTCCAGAAGAAAGCGGATATCAGAATCAGATCAGCATTGAATTCAGACATTAGATATAACAGTAACGGAATATAAACTATTTACTACATATACTATGTACTATGAAGTGAAAGGTTCTGGAAGACATGAGCAAGAAACAAAAATTATACAAGCAACAAACATTTGGAAACAAATATAACAGTTAGAAATGATCTACGTAATTATGCAATCAGAGAAAACTAGTTGGCTATTTACATAGAATCTTGCATATGTAAGCAATTTTAAATAAGGACTAAAAATATCCTACAAATAAAACATTCAATATCAAAATGATATACATTTTATTTTAAAAATTAATTTTTGTTTTAATTTTATAAAAATTGAACTGGTAAAAAAAAAAACATTGAACTGGTAAAATGATTCTAAATTTATCCTGATAATAACCTGGAAAATCCTAAGAACTTTTTGAAAAATAATTATAATGAAGAATGATCTCTATGAAAAATTATAGTGTGTTTAAGTATATAATAATTCAAAGACTTTTATTAAAATAGCACACTTAATAAGAAGCCTAGATAAATACACATCTTGCATATATGAGTACATATACATTTATACATACAAATATACATGTGTTATACAACATTGATCTAAAATATTAGTGATAGAGTCATATATTATATTGTATATATATCATATAACATACTATATTTTAAAAACATACAGCAAAGACCAAGAAAAACTATAAAATAAAAATAAATAAGTAGGTAAATAAATGAATAAATAAATTCATGCTCTGAGCAAAACAAAAAAGAAAACATTCAGAGTTATAATTACTTGGAAGTAGAAAAAGGAGTACCAAATTTCAATGAAGAATATTCTACTTCATTCCCCTACCCTAAAACTTCTCAAGCAGGGAATGCATTTTGTAAAACAAAATAAAAACAAACAAAAAATATTATGCATGAAGGAGAAAAAGGGAATTAGCTGAAATCCTAAAATTAATTGAAGACCACAGCTAGCAACACTCATGCAAAATGCAAACCTACTGAGAAGGTATACTGGTACATCAGCGAATGAACTACAAGGAAAACAGTTAACAATGGAACCGGACACAAGGTGGTAGCTTTGGAAAGGTAATGCTTCCAGTGGAAGAGAAGATTAAGGGGAAAGAAAAAGCAAACATTGGAAACTGTATGATGAAAACAAAAGAGGCAGAGGGGAGATTTTAAATCCTTTATGACAAAATATATCAAAGAATTGACGCCTTTCCCCAAAAAGATATTCAGTAAATGAATCATACTTTCTTCACTGAAAAAGAGAGTATTTTTGAATTTGAAATCTTGTATTTAACATCCAATCACCAGCCATGTTCTCAGAAATGTAGTTGGCGTAAGTACAAAATGATTATAAAAAGAAGAGTGAAAATGATAACCACCTAGTACAGCTGATAAAACTTCCTTGAATCCTTACCTACCCTGAGAAAAAAATGCTAACGGAAAAGTAAGTTGTAATAACTCTTCAAACTTAAATTACCTGTAACAAGTATTTGAGATTTAAAAAAAAAAACTCAAAAAGTCTAAATTAAATATTTAAAACGTAAAACCAGAATGGACAAAAATGGATAAATAAAATTAGAGAAAAAATTAGAAATTAAAAAAATAAATGAAAAAGAAGGAAAAAGAAACAAAAGGAAATATTAACAAAACTAATAACAGTCATAAAGACTAAAGGAAAATCTGCTAGAGGAATAATAGATGTTATTAAAAATATAATGAGAGAAATGGAAGGAAATGAGGAAAACAACCAAGATATAATGAGAATATAATACAGCAATAAAAAGAGTTAGAGAGTAATTGATTGAAATGAAAGACAAAGTTATTTACATATCATTGCACTTTCTGAAGCATAAAATAAAACCATAGCACTTTCTGAACATACGATAATATTTGAATCTACCTATATGTATTCCTACAGATTCAAATGTATACATATTTGTTCAAAAGGGAACTAGTAAAAATTGACTTACAATGATCAACCCCATGATATATTCTAAGAAAACAATTAATTATTAAGAAGGAATAAATACACAGTGCCTCCAGGAAGAAAGATTAAATGATTTACACATGTATTAGAATTAGGTTGGCATCAGGATTCTCAAAAACAACACATAAAGAAAATAAAACAGAGCTACAGCAAGAACTTTTTTTTTTTTTTTTTTTGAGATGAATCTCACTCTGTCACCTAGGCTAGGGTGCAATGGTGCAATCTTGGCTCACTGCAACCTCTGCCTCCCAGGTTCAAGTGATTTTCCTGCATCAGCCTCCCGGGTAGCTGGGACTACAGGTGCACGCCACCACGCTCGACTAATTTTTGTATTTTTAGTAGAGACAGGGTTTCACCATATTGGCCAGGCTGGTCTTGAACTCCTGACCTTGTGATCCACCTGCCTTGGCCTCCCAAAGTGCTGGGATTAAAAGTCATGAGCCACTGCGCCTGGCTGGCAAGAACATTTTAACCTAGGTATTATAGCCAGTAAAACTGTTCTTCCTTCATTGAGACTATAGATATGGTTTTAAATACCAAGAGTTTAGGATATTTTACATCTATGAACCATTCATTAATATCTACTATGAGAAGAACCTCCTTCAAACAAGTGGATAACTAGGGAAACTACAACAGAATGACTAATAAAACTAAATAAAATCCACAAGTGACAGGGGAACTAAAATGGACTACAAAATAAAACAAATGAATTACAATATTTCAATGTAAAAACATAACCACACTGAAGAGGAACAGAAAGAACTGTATCAGTTAACTCATGAACACAGTTTTTGGAAGCTATGGATCAAGGATAGAGAATAAATAATCTTTACACAAATATTGAGCCATAGTTAGAAGTCTTCTTTTTTGCCAAGGCATAGATCGACAATTCTGAACTAATTTTTGTGCATTTTAGACCTTAGCACATTAATAAATATGTTGTGGATGATAGATGTAAAGTTTCCACTGTCAGAAAATGGATTACAAATGTGAAAGTCATCCAGATAACATGGTAAAATGGAGCCTGGAAAGGCTATAAAGAGAGTGCTCTAATATATGATTTGCCTGGTAACAAAAACTATCAAAATAATTTTTTTTTTTTCAAATCACAGCTTACTACATGAGTCACACAAGGACAGCTAGTAGCAGCAGGACAGCCAGCTACTTATACAAGAACACTTGCCTGACATATTGTCTTTCAAACCCAGTCCAAAACTGCAAGGGCCTAATCCTAATTCCAAGATTACAAATTCTACCTAGAACAAGTTCTACCTACTGACAGGCACCAATCAGAGCTCGTCCAATCTTGTAAGATGCAGCCAGTGCCAATAAACTTTTTTGGCAACTTTCTTTCAAATCCACTCTTCTTTCCCTAGTAAAACCTAACTTTTTCTTTTATTCTCCAGACACATTGGAGGCCACTTGCTCTGTATGTATATCCCAAATAACAATCCTATTTCTTGTATATTATTCCCAAAGAAAACATTTTTACTTAGAGATTCATATTCATTTTTTATGCTGACAAAAATATGGAAGGAGAAAAAAGAAACTGTCGTATTTAAATGGAATTTAAAAACTCTGCTTGAATTCACCTTATGATTTTAAGATATGGAGAGATAAACACATATATAATATGCATTTGTGTATATAAATATGTGTATATCTGTACACATGCAGAAGGATATGTGTATACACATCTATATACATGCACATATACAAATATATACATCAACTCCCTGGCTTGTTCACTGGAAAGTTCCTAAAGGGAATGGCACCCAAACAGGAAGGAGCACAGATGGGACCCAAATAAAGCTCTCACTTTTCTGGCAGAAACCTGAAAATAAGGAAGTACTCAAGCAATGAATGAAAAATGTCAGTAGAGCAAAAAGGCCAGCTTGAAGGAGATCTACCATCGAAATCTGAAACAATGTGAGCAACAAAATAAATAACAACATTAAAAGACAAAGCATCTCTTTAGAAAGAATCCAAAAGCCTGCATTGTTATAAATAAATAATTAAATAAATAGAAAAGAAGGACAAATTTACATTAGAATTTCACCAAATACATTTAAAAGAAGTTATTAAATTAGGAACCATCATTTTGCAACTATCAAACTTATGGATGGATGCTACACTGGTACGTAAATACTTGAAGAATCATAAGAACTATTTCTCCAGAAGATATTGGATGATAAATGAAAGATACTGGATGACAAAAGAAAAAATATGATTAGGAAAAATGGCTGATCCTACCTTAACAAAATGAATAAATTTAGTGGGATAATTTAGCTAGATAACAATTTTATAATCATAAAAATAGAAACGATAAATGGATGCTAAAATGTTGGGGTAAAAAAGTTAAGGAGTAATAGGATATGGAGATAATCTCAAAGTATACTCCTGTAAGAAACTTTTTAAATACATAGGGAAATGTGGTAGCTTTACAATGGAGAAATCTTGTAGATTCCACATTAATAAGGTGATCAAAGTTCATATCATTAATAAAAAAACAAATTAATCTCATGTGACCACCTGAGTATACATTTAAAAGAGCGAAATATCACTTCTGTGTTATTCCTACCAAATGTGCATATCCCAAATCTAACCTTATGAAATGATCAAAGAAGCACAACATAACTGGCCTGTACTCTTCACCCATTAAATACCAGATAGCATTCTTAAAACTGCAGGTTTAGTAATGGAGAAAGAAAAGCAAAAGGAAATTTGAAATCTAGCAAATGTATTACTTTCATAAAGTTTTGTTCTGGTTATAGATAGTAAAATTAATAAATCAACGTGAGCATAGCAGGTAACCGTGAAAAAGTTGCTTTGATATGACATGACTGGGTAGGGGTTATAATTTATGATTGGATAATCAAGAAAGTTTTCCCTGAGGAGGTGGAAGCTGACACTTTACAATTAGAAAAACAGGTGGGAATATCTGGATGATAAGCATTTAGACTGAGGTAGCACCAGGTGCATTGACTTGAAAGAAGGAACAAACAGTTTGGCATCCGGGCAACAAAAAACATCTATAGATAGCTAGTTGGAACTACAATAAGCAAAAAGAAAAAGAAATAAGTTGGAGAGGGAAAGAGAGGGGCTCTCAAATAATATTGTACACACCAGATTAAGAAAATTGGATTTGAACCCTAGGTATTCATTTAGAATATGAAGCTAGTAGTGCCCTAATAGGATTAAAAGATTACTGTGTCTTCTGAAGAAAAAACAGAAACCGGAGCAGGGGAGTAAGGGAGTGGGAGTGAGGTGTCAGGTGTCGCTGTGGGGGTTGAAACAAACAAACCAGGCTAGGTGGCTCAAGCCTGTAATCCCAGCACTTTGGGAGTCCAAGGTGGGCAGATCACAAGGCCAGGAGTTTGAGACTAGTCTGACCAACATGGTGAAACCCCCGTCTCTACTAAAAATACAAAACTTAGCTGGGCGGGCTGATGCGTGCTTGTAATCCCAGCTACTCAGGAGGCTGAGGCAGGAGAATCGCTTGAACCCAGGAGACGGAGGTTGCAGTGAGCTGAGATCACGCTGCTGCACTCCAGCCTGGGTGACAGAGCAAGACTCCGTCTCAAAAAAAAAAAAAAAAAAAAGAAACCAGAAAGCACAGCTAGCTGTTAGTTTATGGCAATGGTGCAGGCTCAAGTGAGTCAGGTGAGGTGCATCGCAATAGAGATGGAGACAAGTGTGGAGATTTCAGAAAGATTTTAGGGGTTAAGAGGCAATTTCAAAGACATTTTTTCATTTAAAACTTGTACAAGTACATTTAAAAGATCTTCAAACATTGTTGTAATACTTAAGGATAGAATAACTGTTATTGTTAGAAGTATTCAGAGAATGCATATGTTTCATAATGTCTTTCGATTATTAATAATTTTATCACTCACATGTTGTACTGCCAAATTTAGTGATTCTAAGTTGTCGTCAATAAGCAGGTGATAAAACAAAAAACAACAGGAGAACCACAGCAATACTCCCTTATGTAAATCTGTCAAAGCAACCTTTGGCTCTAAGCCCAATGTGAAATCACTATAGTAAATATCAACTACTGAAAAAGTAGGAACTTGGCTGCCAAACTCCAGACCCCATTATAAATGAAATTGTGAACCCAAGAAGAAGGTATGTTTGGCTTGCACATGTGTTTGTTTATTGTAATGTGAGTCATAAAACATTTGTGCTTATGTTTTAAACTTTCGCTCTAAGATAGATGCTAAGTCATCTATCTCAGAGTCAAAGTTTGAGAGTGATAGGTATCTTGACTTAGTTGTTTTTGAATCATTCTAGGTTTTTGTTCATTTAAATGATACATTATTTTCAACATAGCTATTATGATATTGTATGGGGATTGATAGAAGTTGAGACTGTCACTGAATCTATTATAATAGTTCAGTCTTTGAAGTATCAGAATGTTTTCTTCATAAATTTACCTCTCCTCTAAGTGTTCTGCATACTATGTACTGCTAGATTAAGTGAATAATTTCACTCATGTACACATGTACATAACGAAGATATTCATCAGCATCAAATGGAATAGGATAATGTAGAGAAAGGAATTTACAAAACAACTTGCTGATAATACCATTTCCTTTTGTTCTTTTCATATAGTATAGGTAGCATTATCTTTTACACTTTGAACCTTGGCTAGTTTAAGAGTCTTTGATGAGTTGCTAGGAATGAAAAAGTTGACATTATGGAAATGGTGTCAGGAAGGAAAGAAGAAAGGAAAGAAAGGAAGCAGGATGATAGAGAGGAGGTTAAAAGGGGTAGAAAGAGCAAGAGAAAGTTTTCTTCTGAACATCAGATTCAAGTAATCAGTAAGCTGTATAAATTATTTGGAAACTCACTACTTTTTTTCTCACCTGCATACCTATTACTTAATTTCAACTCACTATCTAGGAAAGACCTCCTGGTATTTTCTATCTTCTCTGCAAATCAGCCAGAGATTCTCAGCTGAAATCTTTAAATACCCTGTCTACTTACCTAGGTTAAATCCAACGTCTTTACATGGCCCTAAAATTTCCACAAAACCTGGCTCTAAATGCCTTTCCTACCTCATCTTCTGTAGCCTCAATATGTTTTACTGCTGACAGCACTAAACTCCTTGTAATTCTCAACCACATCAAGCTAGCTCACAGCCTTGGAATTTGGTCTCTTTTTCACCTGAACGACTAGCTGCCAGATACATGCTTGCCTTACTCCCTCACTCCTTTCAAATTTCTACTTAGGTATCTTAAGAAAAACCATCTGTGATTACCCAGAATACCAGCATACCAGCACAATCACCTCCACACCATTGTGCTGTAAACACTTATCTTTCTTCATTTTTCAGATGTTTATCACTGACATAATTTATATAATTTCTACATACCCTATATAATTTATATACTAGCTGATTGTAAAGCTCCATGAAAGCAGGAGCTCTATTTTATCCATGCCTTTGTCCTAGTAATTTCAAGTACTTGGCTAATAGTCATCTCTCTCTCTTTCTCTCTCTCTCTCGCTCTCTTTCATCTCTTTTATGAATTCCAGTGGGTAACTTCTAAAAGAAGCAGCTAATTGGTTAAATTTTTTAAAAAGATATATTCTACAAAGAGAAGCAACTGACCTAGTAAGGAACTGACTCATATTAATGATAAAAATTAGTATGTGTGTATATATATATACACATGTACATACACACACAGACATGCATACATAAATATTGTTTCTGTAGTATAAAAAGCAGTACCAGTTTCCATGGCTAACTGTATTATATTTCCTATTATCGACTTCTTGCAAGTTGCCCACTTTACCAATTGTCACATACCTTCTTAAAAAGAACTGCTATGGCCGAGTCTGGTGACTCACTCCTGTAATCCCAGCACTTTGGGAGGCAAAGGTGGGAGAATTGCTTTAACCCAAGAAATTGAGACCAGCCTGGGAAACATGGTGAGATCCCAACTCTACAAAAAATTTTAAAATTTAGCCAGGTGCAGTGGTGCACACCTGTGGTCCCAGCTGCTTGGGAAGCTGAGGTGGGAGGATCACTTAAGTCCAGGAATTTGAGGCTACACTGAGCTATGATCACATCCTGCACTCCAGTCTGGGCGATGGGTGACCTATGGAGACACTTTCTCAAAAAAAACCAAACCAAAACAAACAAAAAACAGCAACAAACATAAAAACTGCCGATACTTGAGAAGTCTGTAATACAATTTCACTGCTTGCAGGCAAAGCCTATTAAGATTTTTCTAATATTTTTAAAGCAAAGCAATATACCATCCATTCTTTTAAGAATTCCAGATAAAATATATTTTATCTATATGTACTGTAACAACCAATAAGTTGCTAATTAGAAAACTTTAGAATAAGTTTATGTCTTAATTAATTTATCTTCTTATACTAATTTTTAAAGAGCTTAATCATCTGTTGTGACTTAGCACAAGATAATACACAATATACAACCCAATGGGCTATATCACATATGACATTTCTCAAGAACTGAGGCAACAAATAAAACTTTAATTTTAATTTTAAAAGCCACCTCTCTCTTTTTACTAATTAGGATAAACACTTTAAACGGATTTTTTTAGGGTATTTTACTTGCCTAAGTTGTTTTCAACTTCATATACATTTTTTAAGCATGAGCTTACTTGATATGAATCAGAAACAAGTATTCATTGATAAGTATAAAATAATAAACTAGTTTTAAATTGGCAAAACAACGTGACTATTGGTCATCAAAAATTAGATATGTTTATAGTGAAGTTGTCATATACTAGATTGACTAGATAAATACATTAAGCAGAAAAACTTATTCTGGAAATATACATATCTATATTATATATATCTATACATACACATGTAAACATCACCTTTGAAAATAAATAATGATTTTATTGGATGTTACCTAGCAAGTCAATTCCACATATAGAACAACTGTATATAATTTTTATTAGATAATGGTAAGGTATGCACTATTAACTAATTAATGTACATATTTGATGGCTGTTCTTTAGAATGTATCACATTTTTAGGTTTGCTTTAAGACAAAATGATGGTGCAATTGTATAAGAGGCTGATTAACCATGTAAACTTTTAAATAATAGATAGGATTTCTTTTTTTTTCTTTTTTCTTTTCTTTTCTTTTATTTATTTATTTTTTGAGACAGGGTCTCACTTTGTCACCCTGGTTGGAGTGCAGTGGTGTGATCTCAGCAAACTGAAGTCTGGACCTCCTAGGCTTGAGCAAAATTCCAGCCTCCGCCCCTCAAGTAGCTTAGACTACAGGAGCATGCCAGCACGCTCAGCTAATCTTTTGTATTTTCATAGAGACGGGTTTCACCATGTTGCCCAGGCTGGTCTCGAACTCCTAAGCTCAAGAAATCCACCTCCTTGGCCTCCCAAAGTTCTGGGGTTACATGTGGGAGCAACTGCATATGACCAGGATTTCTTAAAATCAATTTTTCACAGTGTCAAATGATATTGATCTAGATAGATTAAGGTGAAACACCAAACAAATATGTAGTGACAAAATCAGTTAATATAAACAATCCAGAAATTTTCCTCCTCATCCATTCTTCCAAACTTCTCCTTATTACTGAGTAAAATTAATTCCCTATATTAACCAATTATTTTCTTTGCTTAATTTGCATTTTCTCACCTGGCCATACAATCTACTCTGAATATAAAACTTTCACACAAAAATAACAATAATTTATTGTTGAAGTATAGTAAATGACACCATATATCTGCATTTTCTGATTTAAGAAATACAAGTCATTTTGACTGTCAAATTGTCCAAAATGACTGGTTTGTCTATTCTGTTTATTTGGCTGTAAAAATTTGCCATTTATAATTTATTACTATGATGTTTCTAAAGAAATCTATGAAAATGTTTAACAAAATAAATTTTAAAGCTTAACTACATTAATTGCAAAACAATAAGAAAATACCAGGCAATTATTTTTTAAAAGCATATACAATTTAAGCTTACTATTGAATCTTCTCTAAGAGAGAATTTGCTCCAACTTTATGAGAGAAACAGCACAGATTTCAAGGATTTCCTATAGCTGAAAGCCTACTCACACACACACACACACACACGCACACACACACACACACACACACACACAGAGAGTGCACATTTTGGGCTAGGAAGAAATATACCATTAGGGAAAGAGGGAAGTCAAAATGAACTGTCCTACTGCAAATCCAAAATCTAGAAGATGACAAAAATAGTTGACTGGTGCTGGGCAAAAGCCTTCAAGCTACAATTCTAGTATAAAGTGATCACAGCATATTAGTGTTTTCATGTTCCTGGCAGAAGCAAATCAAACCTTCAGTGGAGAAAAGATTATTCCTTATAAAATTTAAAAAATTCCTGTAAGAATATTTTCAAGGGCATTGAACATGAAAGAATCAAACATAAGCATGCAAAGGGATTAGGTTCTAAGGTGTTAACCATTAGATATAAACCTTCAAATATTTTAGGCAATAAAAAAATCCCAGTTATGAGTCATTTATACATATCTAGAATAGTGAATGCTGTTACTAATTAGTTATATTTAAATTCCAGACATTCTGAAGCTGTTTAATAGGTTTGAAGAAACTAAAGACTAGCTTGAAAATATCTGCAATGATCATAAAACCAAAGAAGTTACTCAGTGGAATTAAAAAAAAGTAATCTATAAGAGCAGAATAGAACAAATGTAACTTACAATTCAATAAAGGAGTTTAACAACAGATTAGACACAGCTGGAGAAAGGATTAATGAAGTGAATATGACAGAAAAGGTTATTCAAAAAGCAGTGCTGAGAGGAAGAAAGATGGAAAACATAAAACAAGATGTTAACATGTAAGACAAAATAAGAAATTCTAAAATACATTTAACCATATTTCTAGAAGGAAAGGAAAGCAAAATTTGGTTTGCAGTAATATTTGAAGATGACAGAATTTTTCAAAAGTGATGAAAGTGTTTCTGAATGTGTTTACCACAGGCAGTGAAAGATAGTGGATAACTTAAAAGGCAACAACAACAAAAAAATTAAGCAATGTCAAGTCGTGATTTAAAATCAGTGATTCTGGAAATAGGGCCATCTAGGTTTGAATCCAGGCTGCAACTTACTAGCTTTGTGTCCTTGGACAAGCAACCACATCATTAAAACTCAAATTCTTCATTTACAAAATGTGGATTAGAGAGAGTTCACATATATATATATACTATGTTAGTACAATATTTAACATAACACAACAGGTGGTTAAAGATGAGTTTATCGTTTTGAAAAAAGAAACATACCAAAAATAAGAGAAGTTTTGCAAAGTAGTCATGAACAACAGCAAAAAAGACAAATTAGCTTCAAAGGCAAGGAAGTTAGCTAAACAACCAAAAGAATGGAAACCAGTGAAATGATAGCTTCAGTGGGCTGAAGGAACTAACTACCACCAGTATTGTACAGTGCTGTACATAGAGAAACTCTCTTTTGTGAAGAGGTGCAAATTAAGGACATGTTTAATATTAGTTGTTATTGTAAATTTAACACTAATTTGCCATATTTAAAACCTAGACATTTTGAGACTGTGAGAGTAAATTTTATTATGTTACTGTGGCTATATTTGATTATAAACTTAATAATTTTATAATATAAGCTAATAGTTATATAGTTTTAAAACTTTTGTTTCACCCAGAAATATGTCTTTTAGAAATATGAATGAACATATAAAATATGGCCTCCAAATATATCTTCTTAAACCATACCTAATCTCCAACTAAAGACAGTAACAAAGTCAGACTTCCATCTAACATGATATAACTATAGTCACTCCTTCATGTACATGGGACATTAGTTCCAGGAACCCCTGCAGATATCAAAACCCACCCATAATCAAGTCCCATAGTTGGCCCTGCAGAACTCAGGGATAGGAAAAGTTTTGCATACCATAAATAACTGCATTTTTAATCTGCATTTGGTTACAGATGAGAAACTTATAATGAAGGGCGCACTGTATTTATTGAAAAAAGTCTGCATATAGTAAGTGAACCCACACAGTTCAAACCCTTGTTGTTCAATGGACAACTGTACACACAATGGCAAATATTCTAACCCTTTTCCCAGAAGAGGATACAAGGTCCTTGGGTGATGTTCACTCTTATTTAATATTCTGTAAATCAAATACTGCTATATAAATTTATTATTAACCTTATGTTAGATGGTAAGGGTATAAGAGAAGGAAGAGAGCAAAAATTTAGTGTGTGTGTGTCTCACACACAAACTCCTAACAAACAAGAAATACCTGTAACTATTACAGATCTTCAGTGCTCATATCTGCAGCTGGTAACATGGTCATAATACCTTCTCCCATCACTTGTCTGTATTCCTTTTGCCCTGAGCAAGTACTTAAGCTAGTTGTGGTACTTGTCCAAGTGGAGCGACCCAAATCTTAATTCTTAAACGATCTGGAGTAACAGCAGTCCTTTCTGAAATCAGTTTTTATATTTTCCATTGACTTTTATCACAGTACATGGTAGGACTACTAAGAGATACTGTATGGGATCTGCTATATTCCAAACATACTTTTTCTTACCTTCACTGTGTAGTCGAAATCAAATTTTATATTGTTAATCAGAATCAATTACCTTGGCCTGTACACTAACCGCATTTTCTTTTTTCTCTCAATTCAGATGCATGGGAAGCTCAAAGTGGCCAGATGAGAGTTTCAACTTCCAGTTCAATGGACTCATTGTGGTGATTCATGGTGATACCTAATTCTTGATGGAAGTTTTCTTTTCTTTTGAAGTAAGACCTCTAGGCCAACAGAGTCTAAGGTCAAAAGGACAGGAAGCAAAAAATGTTTATATTACATTACTAGGGAAAACAGTGAGGGGAGCCACTCCTATCTCCCCACTTTGATTCCTGAACTAATTATTTTGTAGAAGAAATAGTACCATATAGTGGATGATGATATAGAGTAACCTGCAGGACAGTGTTTCAGTTGTGCAAGGTATTGTTACCACCAAGTGCTATAAGTGAGACTTCAAAATGCCAGTTCACCCTTAATACAGATAGATACATCAGGAGGAGAGAACATGGTCAGACCAGTGAATTCCATGTTAATGGGCCCAAAGCCACATATCATATGATGTGAACCAAATTACTTGATTAGAAACAATAATATGTAGAATACTATGATGGTAGATAAAGCATTCACTAAGCCCATGGATGATACTTTTGGCATAAGTCCATATTTGAAGTATCTATTCCAGTAAACAAAGTGTTGCTTTTTCCCTGAGAGAAAGAGCTCTATCTAATCAACTTGCAACTAGGTCGCTGGCTGATCACCTCAGGAAATGGAGCCATATCAGGCATCCATTGTCGTTCTCCACTGCTGGCAGATTGGGCAATCAGCAGAGCTATAGACAGTTCAGGTTTGGTAACTTGAGGTCCAGGTTGTTGAACCTATGCAAAACCTCCATTCATGCCATCATGATTACCTTTTTCATAAACCCAAAGAACAATGACAGGAGTGGATGGGGAAAGAGGTTGACTGATATCCATAGACTGAGTCATACTATCCTAGATTATTAAAAATCATCTGCTAAAGTCATCATTTGGGATACAAATATAATTTGCCCATTTAGAAAAGTCTTTCCACATACCTCTTCCCTAGACTTGCTTATCATCAATTTCACAGTTGTGTTCATTCTACTTCTTTGAGCATCCACCAAACCATTGGCCACTATCTGTGAATAAATACAGACTCTTACATCTGGCGATTTCAGCTCTGAGGTAACAGGAACAATCAGGTGTACTGCTCAAAGTTCCGTTCATTGGCAGGATTCCCTTCACCACTATTCTTCAGGAATGTCCCAGAAAACAGCTATCATGCTGTCACTGTTCACTTTTTGGTGGAGAGGCATATTGTGCAGTGTCATCTTTAAATGAGGTCTGTGTTTTCTCATTCTTAGTCAGTTGGTTGTAGGGAACTTCTCATGAAGCCATAGATGTAGGCCTGGTAGTATAGAAGGAGTAGGGGCTATGTGTATTTGGGCACTTTCTTACGCAATGTACTTTGTCTTCAGAGTCTGCTGACGCCCAGTGTCATGTAGGCCTCTTCTGCATATAGCCCAATGTCATATAGGTGCATGCCCAAACTTGCGGTCAGACAACACCCAGTTTATGATGTTTTGATGGGCAGCTCAGTTCCAATGGTAACTTGATTGCCTATGGTTACGTGCTTAGTCTTTATAAGGGCCTCATAGCAAGCCAAACACTGGTTTTCTAAAAATGTGTGCAGTCATATGCAGACTATGGCATAGCTTTGATCCAAAATTCTAAGGATCTGTGTTATCTTACCTATACAAGCTAACCGAAGGCACTAAATGACATTTCTGTCGGCCACTAACACTTTAAGCACTAACAAATCTGCTAGATCATATGGCCCTAGTAGCAAAGTAGTTTGCAGAGCAGCCTGTACCTATTGTAGAGCCTTTTCTTTTGCTGGACTTTATTTAAAACTAGCAGATCTTTCAGTCATTGATGTATTAGTCTTCTCTGTCTGCTTTAATGAAATACCACAGGCTGGGTGGCATAAACAATACAAATTTATCTGTCATGCTTATGGAGTCTGGGAACTCCCAGATCAAGGTGCCAGCTGATTTGATTCATAGCTTGTAGAGGTCCACTCCACTTTCTTGCGTGTCTTCACTTAGCCCATGCCACTTTTATTGTCCCCACAGCATTTAGCTTCTCATTTCAGTGGTAGCAGTTTCTACTGTAATTTCTGGCCAATCGAGAGAATAACTACACCATTCTTCAAGTATGATGAAACTCACTTCACACATTTATTTCTAACAATCATGGTAAAAGATGTGTTTTCTAGACCTTCTCAAAGTGGATATTCAAGTCTTATGTAATAATGCAATATATTTCAATACCCATAAGCCTTTGTATAACCACCCCTACAACAAATAAAGGCAATTTTGGCACTTCAGCTTCTTTTGCTGAAGGCTACATTTGAGTTCATGTTTCAGCAAACCAAGAAAACAAACTGCCAGAGCCATTTTTAGCACCTTAAGTTGCAACACTGAATGCAGAATATCTGCTTATGGGGCTCATACCAGAAAATTCATCCTGATTCAACTTTATATCATATTAAAAATGATTCCATGATTCCATCCCCATACAGTTTATACCCACATGTATTATCAGATTTCTGTATAAATTGAAAAAGTCATGCAGTTCATTTGGTCTGTAGCATACCTTATCAAAAACTGTACTTTGTGACTCAAACCTGTGGGGCATGCGGGGACATGAGTCTAGTATACAGTTCCAAAATCAAAGACTAGTGGTAGGGACAGGTCCCATTCCCTCTCAATCATGCCCTCACATAAGTAGAAATTTGTGTTTGTAATTTAATACTTAAAAAATGAGATTTGGATTTGCTTTTCAGAGACCTTGACCTGCAGCTAGAGGAGAAAAAAGGTTTATTTCAGGACCAGGTATCAATGATTTCAGATAATTTATGTGGACCCTGACTGTAAAATTTGAAACCCTAAGCCCATTCTTTTTCCATACATTCTCAGTGTAGTAACAGCCAGCTAACACTCATTTTGATAAAATACTCTAGAGGAAAAAATACGTGGTAACCCTCACCCTTGCTGTCTATAGGTATTTCGTTAGAATTATCTAATACCAGTATTTTGTGCATTTCTATTGTCATAAGTTTCCATGGACTACAAGTTTCCTCTTTACCACTGGAAATAGCCAACGGGTGATGGGAACACTATCAGAATGTCTAGAAATATCTATCTTTCTTTCTTTCTTTCCTTTTTTTTTTTTTTTTTTTTTTTGAGATGGAGTCTTGCTCTGTCACCCAGACTGGAGTGCAGTGGCGTGATCTCGGCTCACTTCAAGCTTCGCCTCCCGGGTTCACGCCATTCTCCTGCCTCAGCCTCCCGAGTTTCTGGGACTACAGGTGCCTGCCACCATGCCCAGCTATTTTTTTTGTATTTTTAGTAGAGACGGGGTTTCATCGTGTTAGCCAGGATGGTCTTGATCTCCTGGCCTCGTTATCCGCCCTCCTTGGCCTCCCAAAGTGCTGGGATTACAGGTGTGAGCCACTGCGCCCGGCTGGAATATCTTTCTTAATTCAAGTTGACTTCCTTAGAATCTACTGATTATGGACTTTAATCACATCTAAAAAATACCTTAGCAGCAACACCTAGATTAGTGTTTGATTGAATAACTGAGGACTGTAGCCAAGCCAAGTTTACACACCAAATAGACCACCACAAATACCAACGAAAAAAATATTGACGGCATAATTGCAAGAGCCTCAGGGAAAAAATTCAAAATGTTTAAATAAGTGTATTTAAGTGTAAATATTAGTAAGTATATTTGTGTGTATTATATAAAATCAGTAGCATATTTTAGCAATTGAGAACCTCAAATATTTCAAATATTCGAATTCAATGCTTATATTCCATATTTTGAATTTTTGACAAAGTACTGCTACTGAAAATAATGTGATTTTGTTTATATTTTATTTTATTGGGTTAAAAGTATAAGTAAAATATAGTGAGATTTACAGGACTAACCTCTTTACTTCTTTATCTCAAACTACCTTGTTTGCAGTTCCCTTTACAATCTGAATCCATAAACTACATTTTCTCACTGCTTACACGGCCTCCTTTGGTTCTATCAGTATGTTCATGGTTACATGTGACTATTATATTCATTTTTCGGTTGGCACTATTTTTTAATGTGGCTACGCTTTTCTGGTATAACTTTCATCTTGCTAACTCTTCTCGTCATTCTACCCAGGCTTTATCCACACCAGTTGTATAGGGTTCTGTGTTCTCCAAAGAGCAAATCTTGATTTACAGATTAATGTTTTCGTGTATTCTAAGACCTTACTTTAAATTATTCTTATCTACGAATTAATACATTTTTCTCTCCTAAGTCTTAGAATACAGGATATTATTTTCAAAATTATTTAATCTTACAGGCAAATTGTTG
The DNA here is from genome assembly GCF_000001405.40 of Homo sapiens. Lineage (NCBI taxonomy): Eukaryota > Metazoa > Chordata > Mammalia > Primates > Hominidae > Homo > Homo sapiens. The sequence continues at coordinate 132,523,548 of NC_000004.12, forward strand.
CACAATGCTGGAGAGTAGAGCAATATCAGGTACTAGTGAAAGCAAATTAAGTGGAATTCTATTGCTTTTATATGGTTTGTCTGTCATTCTTCTAATTCATGAAACTGGATAACTGACGTTTTTGTCTCTTTGCCAGAGAGTTTTGCTTATTTTAGTTGAAGCCTACAGTAACCACTTTCATAAGGCTTAAAACTAATTTATCTGCTTCATTTGGCTTATAGAGCGATTTTCAAATAGACTGGTTTATCTATACCCTAGGTTAAGAAATTTTAAACTATTAAAATTCAATAATCTTAAAATGTGCTAATTTGTAATGAAATTACTTTTCTACTCTTTAAAATTACTTAAATTTTTTGTTACGGTCAAATTTGTTTTTGTGATTACAAGTAATGGAATTTTTACATTAGAAATCATCTTCGTGTAAGTCAATGATTTAAAAAGTTATTTTAGGAATTATTTCTATTGTGTGTAACAAATTATTCCTCTTATGAAAGTTAATATTTCAAAATAGACTTATTTATGTCAATAATGAGCGTATGTTCTCCTCCTTCACTCTGTTCCTCCATAAATCAATCTATTTTGCATTAAGAAAATAAATCCTACCTATTATGAATTTTTACTGATTTTTTTCTCCCAACATTTGTACACTTCTCTCTACTTTTATAACACTCTTTGGATAACAAGAAAAATTAATTTGCAAACATTTAACAGCTGTTTTGGATATTTTCAAGCTTTTGTAGCTTTCAGTTACACTTTAATGTGTTTTTGGATTACATTGTCTTGTTCTTAACATATGTAATTAATATCTGTATTAAAAGCATACTTGTTCAAATTTGGTATAAATAGGACATATTACTATTCAATTACATAGAGACAACTGCAACATTGGCTTACAAAATTACTGTTTTTTCTTTCATCTGAGAAACTGGCATAAATCCAGAGAGTGCCAAGGATAATAATAGCAGTGACTTTAATTAAATTTAACATATTGATACTGTGAAATTTAGTTATTAAATTTTGATTCATAGGCATTAAAGAAAAATATACAAAATTACACTAACATTTGATCTAGCTTTCTGTGATATTATTAAAAACAAGCGAAAAAATCAGAATGAAGCCTCCCCAAAGAATTGAATTTCAGTATGGAATATGTGAAATCTCTTTAACAAGTTTTTAAATCTTTTTAAGCAGTGTCCAGATGGTCAATAACTTACCTGCAGTTACTATTACAGAAAATTAAAATAAGAATAATCCTTTATTCATTTTATAATCATCTGATTAGTTTTACCAGTGTAACGTTATACACATTTGCAGATAGCATCTTTTGAATATTGTGAAGAGAGATGCTATCATCTTTTATGTATACACATTTGTTTAAATACTTGTGTTTTTTTTATTCTTTAGATATGTAACTAAGGCTGGAATTGTTAACACATAGGGTAGTTCTATGTTTAATTTCTTAAAAACTGAAATTTGTTTTTCCACAGTGACTACATCATTTTACATTCCAACAGCAATGTTCAATGGTTCCAGTTTCTCCATATTCTCTCTAATACTTGTTATTTTCTTTTAAAAAATTATACCAATCCTAGTGAATATGAACTTGTATTTTGTGGTTACAATTTACATGTCACTATTGACTAATAATGTTTAACATCTTTTCATGTGATTTTTGTCCACTTGTGTATATTTAGAGAAATGTTAATTCAAGTCTTGTGCCAATTTGTGAATTTAGATGTTTATCATTTTGTTGTTGAGTTGTTACAGTATATTTATTCTGGATATTAGACCTTTTTTGTATACATCATTTGCATTTTTTTCATCCTGTGTTTTGTCATTTACTTTCTTGATAATGTCATTTGAGGGACAAAAATTTTTCATTGAGGAAGTTTATTAATTTATTTTGTTTGTTGCTGTTATTGCTTGTACTTTTGGTGTCTAAGAATCCATTGCCAAATACAAAGTTATGCTAATTCATTCTACGCATTCCTCTGAGAGTTTTATAGTTTTAGTTCTTAGATTTGCTATTGATTCATTTTAATTTAATTATTTTATACACTGTGTTGTAACAGTTCAGCTTAATCTTTTGCATTCAGTAAACACTTGTTTCATTACTATTTGTTGAAGAGACTGTGTTTTTCTCACTGAATAATCTTGGCACCCTTGTTGAACATCAGTTGGCCTTGGATATATGAGTTTATTGCTGGACACTCAACTCTAACCCACAAGGCTTGTCAGCACAAGTGACAAACAGAGGCAGAGGCTCTCTAAAAGAAAATACTTATTCAGGAATAGGGGACTGCAATGGGAATGCATATGCCATAGTAAATTATGTATGAATTCACAGAGGTAAAGAAAGACAGATATTTTAAAGAAAGTGTGATAAGGATTACATAATTGTTTTGAGAGTATTATCCTTAGCCACAAGGATAAATAACAGGTAAAATCACTCTGAGGTTATAGAGGCAATTGCTGGGCAGATGTTCCCACAGAATTAATTTTTGTGTAAAGTTGTGATGGCCTTTTTGCAAAGTTGCAGTTTTTGCAGAGCTATTTGTGTAATTTTTGTTATCAGCCATGAGAACCCTTTTCTTCATGGCCTTTCCTGGTTCTGTTTATCAGAGTTTTTTTTCCAAAAGCATAATCTATTTATCCTGTAGTTAGTCTTTGATTGTTCCTTGGTGCCGGGAAGACCAATCCCAGTTTACTATTCCAGGTCTAGTGCCACATTGGAGGGAGTGAACAGCAGGTAGGAGTAACTGTCAAAACTCTTTAAGCCACATTCAAGCTACAAGAGAGTTATGAAAAAAGTGACTCTCGGCTAAGTCTAGCTGGAGTCCTTAATTAAATTCAATATTTTCCATTCTGTCATCTTTTGCCATCATGTAAAAGTGCTACATTCACATTATTTTGTGAAGAAGTGTACTTCTGAAAAAATTTAACAAGTAACAGATAACAAAGTTTGAAAAATATACAAAGTAAAATAAATAGTAATATGACAATCCCAGTTGCTTAAAAGGCAATCAATTGAATAAATCATATGACCATAGGGAAGTAGATGAGAACTGTTGTAACCATGGGACTTGTTTCCTTATTTTGAATATATGGGTCTCATCTATCCCACAGCAATTTTTCCAAGTACATCATGTAGTATTAGCAATAGTACAGACATTTCCTTATTTAACCAATAGATGCTAAACTATCTCTTAGGTTAAGTTCTGCCAAGTCACCAGCATGAGCTACTGACTGTGAAAGTTCAATTACACCATTATCCTGCCAAGTGAGAAAGGTAGACATAAAGACAGGTAAAAATTTCATTATGATATTGAGACTTGTTCTGACATCTCGGGAGAAGCTGTTTACAGCACAAAAACATCAACTTCTTGTCCTGGTTTGCAGTTTGAGTGTCTCTGGTTATGGCATTGGGTGGTTTTGTAAACTTTCTGTGTGGCCCATACATCAGACACAAAACTTGTTCCTTAAAATTTATTTAGTTTCAGCTTATAGGGCTTCAGAAACAGAACAGTTCCCACTTTTAATAATTCCAAAAAAATACAAAATAAAGTTGTATTGGAGGAATGGGGAAGAATTCAAGATCTAGTGCAGTCTATAGGTAGATAATAAGAACATGAAAACAATACACTGAGCTACAATTTAATAATGGGTATATTATAACTTTCTTTAGGAGTATAACTTTCTCCATATATTGATTATATAAAAATAACAGATTAAAATTTTCCTGAGGATGGAAAGCCAAATAAAACTTCTATCCTGAGGACAGAAGTTAGCTTTTACTTGCAGTATTAAGTTTCCTGTGTCTGCCAGAAAGTGACTATTTTTGTCTACTCTCTGCAAGGCTAGGAACCCTTGAAGACAGGCATTCCATGCACATTCTGAAATACGACATTTCAGCCAGTCTTGGTTATATAATCAGTGTTTTCAGATGTATTCTGTTATAAAGAGATAACAGATTTTTATTGGGCTTATGCAAAAACCATATTACCATAAGAATATTCACAACTTGTTTCCAAATTTTGCAAGAATTAGGTAAGTCTAATTAGATTAGATACGTGTAATCATTTAATATCTCTAAAATGAGAAATACATTTTTTGAGGGTCTCCAGGGGATCAACTGGAAAATTACAAAGTTGACTCTAGGTCAAAGAAATTAATTTAGAATTTTGATCCTGGGGAATATTGCCAAAGATGTCAGAAGGTTTAAAACACTTGAACAAAACAGAATCACAGGTGATTGTAAAATAATAGTCATGTATTTAACTAGAGTGATAATCAAAAGACCTCAAAAGCAATACAGAAAGTTACATGAATATAAAATTCTTAACCCTTACAAAGTTTATTTTTTATAAGTAATCAAAAAACTAATGTAGACAACAGAGGAAATTATCTTGATAAAATGCAAATTACTTGTTTTATAATTATTATTATTTTGGCCGGTTGCCAAAAAGCTAAAGAGAACTTCCTACAGTATAATTTCTTCTCCTTATGGGAAGTCATTTAGAAAACCTGGAAGTTAAGCCTAATTTGCATGTGGCAGTTTTAAGTTATTAGTTTTTAAAATCAGTACTTTTTAATGGAAACAACTTGACCAAAAATTTGTCACAGAATTTTGAGACCCATTAAAAAAGTTAAATGAGAGAAAAAAAAAATACTTGAATTCAGACACAGAAGAATGCCTGTCTGTATTATACCCAAATTACATAGGAATGTTAACAAGAAAACTAGTATATTGAGCAGAGGAATACATGACTGTTAGAAAAAGTAAAATCAGGAGAAAGTTTCTGGTTGCATGAAGCAATTCAGACATGCCAAGAAAAGCCAAGAAGAGTAGAGAATAAAATAATTCTGGGGAGAAACATTGATTTTTTTAGGCCTTCAAAATAAACACTTCAGTGTCAGGTCATAACAGTAGAGTGACACCTGGAGGGAAAAATAGTTACAGGAGCTGATATAAAAAGTTGGAGACAATTATGATCTCAGGTTTTCTTCAAGGAGAGAAAGAGCTAAAGGCAATGATGCATGATCTGCAAATCAAGTGCTGCAAGATACAGCAAAAGTTGAACTTCAGAGATACAAATTTTAGAAGCGTTAAGAGAAAAACTCTACCTTAAGGGATAAAACTAACACTCTAAATGAAGATGAGAATGTTGCCACCCGGAAACTTGAGAAATTAAATCGATCTCAGGAAGAAACGTGGCATAAATGGAAACTGTCTGCAATTTAGAAGATGGCTGTTAAAGAAACATATTTTAGAATTAATAATCAAACCCTCCTACAATTTTACTAGGAGCAAATCAGTGCTTCAAGAAAATCTTCTTCTGACTGAGGTGACTAAACATTTAGTTTTGCATCAGTGTATTTTTAACATCAAAGCTCAATGTTTAGAGGAACATAAATAGTTGTTTTTCGAATTATAGCCAAATTGATCACATATAAAATTTCTTTCTTAAATGTATTATTTACAAAACCTTTCATGACCTACTCTGACCTTTGATAATATGCTTAAACTTCAGGCTTTGTTCTATACTTATTTCTTAAACAACCACCCATTTTATTGTAGAAAAATTATGATTTTTCTAATATAAAATAATTTTTAAGCTTTTTAACCAAAAATAAATCTTTATAAATATAACTTACTTTATATACATCTCTCCTACTTACTGTTTTCTTTCTATCTTCCTTTTATTTTCTTCCTCAATTTATATTTTGAAACAACTTTTAAATAAACTCTGAATTAAAATTTTTTTTCTTAATAAGGACACATTTTTATGCCTTTTAATAGTCTTTCTTATTAAAATACATCTTTTTTTGGTATAATTTCTATTAAAAATTATGTATATTGGAATAAAATAATTAGAATTTTAACTCTAAATAACATTAATTTCTATCAACCAATTTTGAGTGGTCCATCACATATTAGCATTGTATAGATGAGAATCTTTTTATAATTTTTTAAAACACAGCTTCCCATAACATAATTTTTATGAGTATTAAGAGATCTAAATGCAGTTAGTCTTTCCATAAAATTTTAGAAACCAAGAACAAACATATTATATTCAGTGATTTGTTCATGTTTTTATCTCATTTGGATATGATCCAGACATTTAATGAATGTAAATAAAATGAATTGCTTAATTCAATATAACATAACTTTAAAACCTCAAATAACATGTAATGTTCATTTATAAATATTTATGCTTTTTACGTTGACTTTTGTTATGTTTAGCAATTGTACCTACAGTATTTATGAAAACTGAGATATTAGACAAAGCTATCATCATTTCAAGCTTATTGATTACATAGTCAGTATCTCTCTTGTTATAGGTCTGTTTAGATATTCTCTTTTACCTTATGACAACTTTGGTAGCTTGTGTGTTTCTAATATTTCACCTAGGGCGTCTATCTGCTGACATCAAATTTTTAATATTATTCTATTATTTTACATTTTGTTTTTTCTAATATTGTTACTAACGCCCTTACTTTCATTTCAGTAATTCATTCTTGACACCTGCTTTTTCTTATACTTTACATGGAATCAGTTATCAAGGTCCTCAGTTGTATATAATGCCAACAAGAAGGAAGCATTATTTTGTCCCTTATCTTGCTTCCTGTAACACTAGCTATGTTATTTCCTATTCATCTGTCCTTGCCATGATGCCTTGTTCTAAAATCAGGCATTCAGAAAATAATGTAGGAAACACAGGACTTCTAGAAAAAATGAAAGAAAAACTAAAAAAGTTTAAATATCTTTACATAGTATAGAAGTACTTTATCATTTTACCTGACTATAATTTAAGATTTAAAGGTAGGGACATTTCAGGATGGTCTGTGTGCTAAATAAGGGAATATATATTATGTTAAGGATTTGCTATATTTTTAATAATAGAACTTATGCTCTAGTCTTTAAAAATAACCAAAGAATAGCAATTAGTGTAAAATTAAAAGCTTATTTTACATAATGGAATAGTTTTATGTCATTTAGTAGGTTTTTAATTGTTGCTTCATGTTTTCTGGGCATTACTAATTAAATGTTGGTTAAAAATAGTATTTTTATATAAACACTTGAAATTTACATATTTAAATATATTTATATATTAAAATATATTGACATTTACATATATCTATTAACATTTATATTTTATATATGTGATTATATATGCATATATGTACATCATTTGAAAATAATAATGTTAAAGAAAATATTTGATTAAAATACTTATTGATATTTTCATAGCTGTTATTATAATTTTACAGTTATTTTTAGATACCTACTCCATGTGAGATATAATGACTAGTATCACAGAAAACACATAAATACATGAGTAAGACATAATCAATGCTTTTAAGATCCTCTTCTAGTTATCTATTTGTGTTACAACCTATACAAATACTTCGTAACTGTAAACAACTACTGTTTATAGTTAGTTAAGATATCAGATATCAACACCCTAAAAAATAGTTGTTTATAGTTTCCAAGGAGATGAAGTAGTCACTAAGGAGATGAATAGTTGTTTATAGGTTGCTAGGAGATGAAGTATTTTCCAAATCGAATTGGCCAAATGTTCATCACAAATTCAGCCCTTGCTGCAAGATACAGTTTAAATGGTAGGTGGTATTCTGCTCTTAAAGTTATTCTAACAAAAGTCTTTTATAAAAATAAATTGGAAAATAGATATTGGTTAGGCAATTACTAATCTCTTTACTTTGGATTCTGACTTTGTCACTCAAAGTATTTGCTATTCCTCCCACTCACAAATTTAGGAAGCCACTTTCTGTTTTCAGTATCAGTCATTTGCAAAAATGTTTACCAGGAGAAGTCTAAGGAAAACCCTCTATAAAGTAAAACTAGAAACATACATTCTTGTTTGCACCTATCCACTAAGTAGCACAAATTACATATAGTCATTTAATTAACGATTGTACAATTTACACAGTATCCCAACAATGTTTGCAGCATCACCCCAAGACCAGTGTGAGGAGGGACATAATATATGGTATACTGATACCAGGAGGCTGTAAACACCAAATAAGATACAGAACTCAACACTGGAAAATTAAAACTGCCAGTGAGATGGGCCCACAGAAACGTATGCAGACAATCATGAGGTCCTGTGCTAAGAATGCTTTAAATCATGTCACTCTTCATGTGATACTAAATATATAGTCAGTAAAGTGATTTTGCACTGGCTGAACACCTGCTCTTGGCAAAACATCATTTTCAAACTAAGTGCTTTGGCAGGTAAGCATGTGAAAAAGAATTTACCATCATACCACATATTAAAGACACTGTTAATTAGTTATTTTAAAAGACCATCCTAGTTTGACCTCATTTTCTTTAAAGTTATCCTGCTGTGAGATTAATTCCCCAAGTCCTGTTTAACAAATTTTACTTACCTATTTTACCAATGTACTCCATTATTAGCAAAGACACTTCTGATTAGGGTGACTGTAGTATCTGATTGTGCAGACTTTGATAAATAAATGCATGAAATATACCCTATACATAATGACATTTTACACCTCACTTTGGATGACATAAAATGTGCACAGATATTTATTTTCAGAGCATAATTACTGAGAGAAAAAATATTTTATGTAATTATGTTGCTAAACAATGCATGCCTTCATTTAATAGATAACTTCCTTAAAAAAAAACACTGTGGGAGCCTGCCTTTTTGATGTAACAGATGTTGTGTTTACACAAAACAGAAATGAAATCAGGATTCTATACTTGGAGTACCCATCTATTTTTAAGAATAAGGATTTCCAGTAGCAGATGGCATCCACACTGTCTTCTGACATAGAAAAAAAAAAGTTTTCCTTAACACTGTAAATTAACAGATTGGTTACAACTATACATATATGGATTAATACATTTAAAATATGTTTTTATACGAAAGTAGAAAAATTTCCACACAGCACTATAAGAGAATTATCAGGCATATTTTTCTAAGCCTTAAATTGAAAAGTAACTATAAATTCATGTTTCATTAAACATGGATTCATATACTTGGGTTTAGTTGAAATTAATTAACTGTAACTCTGACCTTTTCTAGAGAGAAATTTGTCACTCAGCATTATGCCAATTTTGAAACTGATCCTGTTAAGAACAAGTGTGGTATGACATTGTGTATTTTTTCATCACAATATAGAAGGACTGTAGAAAGAATGTATTTTGACCCAGACTTACACGTATTTTGGCCACAGAATTACATTGACTTTGTACTCAAATATTTTTGCAGCAATTTTGAATATGTGCAGAACTCTGCCTAAAATCAAAGTTCTTTTTTTATTATATTACACACTTCATTTTCCCATTAGAAAATAATTTACATTTAATGACAAGACAAAACACAGAATTGAATTTTTATTATATTGTCACCAATGAAGGAATTTAGCCTGTTATTTTTCAATAGCCCATTGCTTTTCCTTAAATTATCAAAGCCACATTATAAAAACATGAATCTCAATGGGAAAATTACGTTATTAGCAAAATAGTTTTATAATCCCTCTTAAAAGAAAGTTATTTTTCCATAAGTTGAAATAGTAAGATTAGTTCTATGACTGTTTTTTGAATAAACATAAATATTATTAAGCTTATATTAAGGATAAATGTATCTCACATATACTCATAAGCAATGGAGATCTTTTTTCTATAATCACTTGCAACAACTTTAGCACAATGCATTTTATACTTTCTCACAATTCTTATTTCTAACAAAAAAGAACAAAAGCCAGAAAAATGTATTATTTCTCTTGCATTTTTCTAATTACCGGAGAGGTTATCTCACAAACTGATCGTACTATAATAACATTATTAATCTACAAAATTCAAACTATGTTTCTGAATTGTCATTCCTCTTATGGATTTAATGGCTGCATTGTGAAAGCATGACCGAGAGGACATAAACAAAATACAATCTATGTTTATCTCTCATTCTCTTGTTAATCAGTGGAATACTTTCCTCTGCCCAGAAAAAGAAAAACAAACAAACAAACAGCAACTATCATGACTTCTTTAATCATTTTTATGTAATAAAGGGTACCATGGCTTCTTTAAGGTTCAAATACAGCCTTAATGGTCTGGCTAGCTATTTTGGGAGGAAACTTCATGGTCTTCCTTGTCACTCATTTCTAACATTTGCCAAAATGCTTAGTAAGTGAACCACCTATGGTACAGCAGAGGTGAGGTCCAAAAAAAAAATGGGGAACAAATAAATTCTAATTTTAATTACTATTTAAAGTAGATCATTAAACCACCCTTTCTATGCTCCCCATTTTAGAGTATGGCTATGCCAAAGATTTTAGGATTTGGTTAGTGGAGAGTCCATTAACTCCCCAATACAGACAAACATATATGCAGAAATATACTATGGAAACCTCCATCCCCAGGCTGAATGTCAAGGCTCTTCACCACAGGGCAAGAGCTGCTGCCTTTGAATTCTCTCCATAGGTTCTCTTTCCACTTACTTTCCCAAGCTTTTTATAACTTTGATCTCTATCAGAGGTGCCTAGATTTTGGGCTCAAGCATTGTGATATCAACTCTAGCATTTATTCCGAACTTGTGTATTGTTTTACCACTTCTGTTGATACCATCTTAAGACATAGAACATTACCCAAGTTGGCATTTTTGCAATTCTACTATATGATTATATTTTCTCTTTCCACTAATTACTGGTCAATTGTATACTCTAATACTACAGATTTATTGTTAGGACCTGAATGCATATTGGTCATCCTGCTCTATGCAACAGATATAACTCAGAGAAAGATCAGTAATTTTAATTAATAAATCATGGCATTCTATGACCTAGAATGACAGTTTGTTTTATTTCTATGACTTTGAATATTACATGATTTTTGAGACATTGTGGAATAAATCATCTAGGCAAAGAAGAGCTTGAAATTAGGTGAAGTGATGACTGGCTCAAATAGGTGGAAAGAAAGTCCAAATGAGAAATACCTAATCTAATAGATTTTCACTTTTCTTTATTTGTGATTATTATTTTTGCTGCCTATTTCCCAAATGAATTAAAATGGCTGATGGCTGGGTAGAAAGCTAATGCATTAACATTAATTTCAAACCAAGTGACTTGTTACGGATATTAACCTGACCATAATCATTTATTAAAAGTGATTTAAAGCAGGCAACTTTTACTGCTTATCAATTTGTATTTCACAAAAATTATAGTTTAGAAATATTCAATAAGAATGCAGAGAGAATGTAGGTAGCTATTACTACTAAAATAATGTATAGAATAAGAATCAATTGCAGCTCTAATGGGGAAACTAAAAATAGTGTACTCGAGAGGGCATAGGCATTTATTCATTCACATGTCCATTTATGCATTTACTTGCTATGCATATTTAATTAATATTAATGAAATTCATTAGTACATAACAAATAATAATGTAATATTAATACCTAATATTTATTGAGTGCTTTTCAATATTATGGCTACTTTTCTAAATGTCTTACAGGTATCAGCATATTTAATCTTTATGACTAACTTATGTAGTCGTTATTTTAATATTATATATAGTTAAGGTATTTATATAAAAGTTAGAAAAAAACATGCCTAGAGACATTAAATAACTTGACAAGCTCTTACAATTAATCAGAAGCAAACCTAATTCTCAGAAGTCTCTCTGATTTAAAAAATCTATGCAACAGATATTACTTAATGGAATATCAGTAATTTCCATTCATACATTTTGACAATATACTGGAATAAAGGGCATTATCTGTGTAAAGACTGTAAACTGCCATCCCCAAAACTCAAGACCCATTTTGTAATATCTATCTATTGTTTCACAGTCCACACTTATTCTTATTTCTGTAGATTTGATAAAATATCTGTATTTATCTGATTGAATATCAGAATTGTGGGATCCACTGAATGTGTACTCCAACCCAGAAATTAGTAGTAGTGTAAATAGGCTATTTCTTAAATATTTATTAAAATTACAAATCACACTGGATGATTTCAGAAGTATCTGACTTTAATTTCCATGAGTGAATAGTCATACCTCCACCATGAACAACTAATATATGTACAAAACATATTTGTTGAATAAATGAATGATTTGCAATGTGAAAATTGTGGAACAGTATACTTTTTACTGTTATTATGCTTCACTCCTACTCTACTGTGTTCACCTAATATATTCATTTTATTCATTTCACAGGCTTAACAATTCAACACGACACACATTTATTAGCTCAGAGTTCTATGAACCAGTGATCCAGCACTGCATGGCTGACTGGATTATGGGAGTAAAATCCATTATAATTGCAATTTCAAGAACTGTGCAGGGCCTGTAGTATTTTGGGGAGCCATTTTATAAGCCTATCTCTCCAGTAGTTTCTTTTATTTAGTTTATTTCTATCTTTCCAATAATTTCTGCTTCCTTTGTGAATATTCTTTTTAAATCTTGAGTTCTAGAACATCTCCTCCACTCCATTTGCCTCCCTGATCTAGATTTATTCCTCCCACACAGAAACGTAAAACCAGGCATGCAGATTAAGACAGTTTCTGAGACATTTTAAACATACTTCATCTATGTCATTTACAGATTTAAATTACCTTTTGGTATTAGGACAGATTAAAAGGTCTTATGTCTGAAAGATTGGTTACTTGTATCACTAGAATATTTTTAAATTGGCAATATCTTCATGAAATTATTTTTCCCATCATAACCATTTAATCTATTAAAAATAGGTTTACATGAATAACATGGAAATCCACTTAAACACAATCTACTTTGTTCTACACTTTGTCAAAATAATGAGAGAGATGTTATGAGATATATGATTTACTATCTATGAGAATTTTTTTTGGAGAATATCTAAGCCATAGAAAAATTTGGTTTCCTCATAAAAGGGGCTATATTCCTTTATTTTGGTAATCTGTTCTACTCCGGCCATCTTATTACATTAGAGTTTTTGTTAATTTACACAAATTACTTAACAGTAATCTTTAACAATATTTATTTTTGTAATACTATCATGATATCTTGATAATCTGGTAAAAATGTTTTTAATAGCAACTTGGAATTTTAAATTTTGAATATTTTGAATTTTCTCTATTTTCACAAGTATACGCATTGAAGTTTACCATATAATTCTTTCAAAATTTCTCCCTAGTAATCTTGATATTTTTTATAAAAATACTTCTTCCTAGTGCAAGTCTTCAGATAAAATTTATTTAGCTGTAAGAGTAATATATTCATTTTGCTTTTCTTCTAATTCTGCATTCATTTTAATTACAATCCTATTCTTTCTCCCCTTCTTCTTATTACTCTTCTTTCTTCTGTTCCTCCTCCTCCTCTCCTTCTCCTCTCTTCTACTTATTCTTTTCACAATAGTAAATCAATAAAAATGATAACTCAATTGGCACATACATCGAAAATGCCCTTGGTCTTTTAGCATTTTCTTTCCTACGTTCAGAATTAAGACTAAACTGAATTGATTGGAGGGTTAAGGCTTATAATTGTTACAATACTCTGTCTTTATTCGAGTGCTGGGGCAAGATAAATCTTACACAAATATAATTTTCTAAAAAGCTTGTACATGTATCATATAGTACCTTCTTTTTAAAGAATTTCCTCCTAAATGCATACCACAGAGTTCAACAAAAGTAAATGTTATTTCTCAGGCTGAAAATATTTCTTGAAAAAATTAGGTTTTTTTTCCTAGACAGAGCCACTGGAGCCACTTATACACAGATATTAATAGAAGTATTTATTAAATAATGCAATTGTTGTTTAATAATTTTCTTTCCATTACTTTTCTCAGTTTACTAATAGTCACACCTAAAACTCTCTTTCAATTGAAGACTTTTGGTGTGGAAAATAAGTTTTTGAGTTTTATTACAGGTACAGTTACAGTACAAGCAATAAACTTTATTTCTCCCAACCATCTTAGTCACTTTCAGGTCCTGTTGTATTAACTGTATTATGTTGAAGGAAAATTAATTCCATGATATGCCATTTTCTACAGTTGAAATAATAAACATTTTAGCACAATGGGAATAATACATTCCTTTATATAAACACAGCATTTATGTACTGAATTTGAGTGCTACTAGAAGAAAATTGAATTTTCTCTTTGGAAAATTTTGAAAATGTTTATTTAAAACTAAATAGAATAAGAACTTTCTTTTGCAACAATTGTAATCTGTAAACTTTACCTGAATCATCATTAAATGAAAGAGAAATTTGTGGTTATAAAAGCATTAATGAAATAGCTTTGGAGTAGAAATAATAATAATTAAGCATTGGAAATATTAGTGATTTTTGTTTACTGTGAAAAGAAATTTATCTTTCTCTGTTCAGCAGAAATTTATTTATGTACTGAAAACAAATAGTACAAAAGTTTATTTTTTTCTTTTACTGCATAAAATTTTCCTAATAGACAAATAATGCTAAATAAACACCAAGTAGAAAAGTATAAGAATTATCCAAATATGCCTGTATATTATTATATTTTATACAAAAATTACAAATTGCCCTTGCTCCTTTCAATGACTCTAAGGGACAACAACAAATATTTACTGCTATATATCAGTGTATATACACAGGATATGTTAATGGTATTCAGATTGTGTCAAAGAAAATTAGGATATGTGAAAATTCAAAGGGCATACATAGTGGTTTCTGCTTTCTTGTCTAAATAATATGTTCGCAAAGGTCCACAACTTAAAGCAGAAATTAATCTCAGCTTCTAGTTCGCAGTTGTATAGTATCAATTCAAGGTAATTTTATTTATTTACTTACATATAGTTACACTCAAAGACATTTCTGTAAATCATATGGAATAAGATAAAATATTAACTGACTTCAATTTATTTAATATCAAATTGCTAGAGCCCCAAAATGAAATTTACCAAAAGAGAAGGTGTATAAACCATCTTTCTGATGTATTTATATACATTTTCCCATAATAAATGATAAGGCAGCTTCGATTTCTATCAAAGGAATAAAGTGCCAGTAATTGGGATTTTGATCTTAGTCACTTTCTGGCAATAAACTTTATCTCAGCTTCTCCAGACTAATTATGGGAAGTTGAAAGAGAGAAACTGAAAAATCAAAAGATGGTGAGCAAAGTAGTCATCTGGCATATGTTCCAAATAATCCTCATACAGGGAAGATTTGGCAAAGGCGATGCACATTGACAAGCAAGCAAAGAGCATCTCAGAAAGATGCAGCTTGACAGATGAAGAAATGTTAAGTATGAGTAACGCAATGATTGTCCTGGCTTATTTTGATCATATTTATTTAGTTTTAAATCAAATAATTGAATAATTTCCTACTTTTAATCATGCCAATGTATCTACTCACAACTCAAGTGAAATATGATGTATATAAAATGTCACTTTTTTCTCCATGTTTTGCATGCCCAATGTTAATATGTTAATGTATAATGTTATTTTTATTTATCAAATTTATGTCAAATAAATTACTTTTTCAATGCCTTAGTACCCTTATGTATAAAATGGAAATATTATTAGTATTTACTTCCATAGTAAAGCATTTAATACATGGTCACAATTATTTTAATCTACCAGTCGTACTAGATAATAGTAAAACATTATTATAAAATAAGGAATCTATAACAAAAATAATAATAATTTTGAACAGTGAAGAATTGGACAGCATACTTAAATTTCTCAATGCATAAAATTCAAGGCATATGATTGAGTGATGGGACCCATGATTCAATAAATATTAATTAGATTTGGGCTCACAATTTTTACAAAAAGCTCTAATGCATTTTCTAATGTTGTAAAAACACAAAACAAGAAAAAACGTAGTAGTTTCAAGAGAAGCTCTTACAATCACCGTTTTAGATTAATCACAGTGAAGGCCTTCAGAATTTGGAGCAAAACTCTCTGTCTCCTGCAGGTATCATCTTTTTGAATAAAGCTTCTGGATTGCTCTAGGTTCCTAGTAAAAACTAATTATTTTCCATGGATACAAAGTAATAAGTAGTAGGTAAATTTGCCTCTCAGTACTTAATTTAGGTAGTAACAAAGAGGAGTGTGAGCTAGGAATGGTGGCCCATGCCTGTAATCCCAACACTTTGGTAGGGGAAGCGAGTGGATTACTTGAGTCCAGGAGTTTGAGATCAGCCTGGGCAACATAGTGAAATCTCATATCTATGAAAACTACAAAAATTATCCTGGTTTGGTGGTATGCACCTGTAGTCACTTGGGAGGCTGAGGTGGGAGGATCACTTGAGCCCAGGAGGTCAAGGCTGCAATGAGCTCTGATCACACCACTGCACTCCAGCCTGGGTGAAAGAACAAGATCCAGTCTCTAAATAAATAAATAAGGATGTGACTCAGATAGAAAAGAAATTGGCATCACCTAGTGATGGATAAATGGACATACCCTGTTTTGAGGGCAGAGCATGTGATGGGAGGTATGAGGGATAGTTGTATCATGTTAGGAGAAATAATTATTTTGCTATTTTTTTATTTCAAAGCTAAATGTATCTAAAAGAGATGCCTATGAATACCAAATATAGTTAGAGTGCTGCATATGAGTTAAAAAAATACAGTTAAAAAAGATGTATGAATGTCAAGTTGCCAAGGTTTCAACTGTGCTGTGTCACTTTGGTTAAACTGAAGAATACATTTCACAGAATCCCCTTTCTTGCATTTTTCTAAGTAGCATTAGTCATAAAAGCTTATGCCAGATTTTGAAGTCTTATATAAGTCAGTCAAATAAGGTTCCAGGCACAACAACACCTCCTTGGGTCCCAGCTTGTCATCTTCTACACATGTCCAGCTTTTCTAAATAACTGAAACTGCAGCAACTACTGTTACAGTAGGCGATCAGTCAAACACAGGCAGGGCAGGAGAGTCAAGCAGGGCAAGAGAGCCCCACCCCACCCCCAAGCACCATCAGGAATGTCAGGCCTTATGCCTCTCAGTTGAATTCTTCTGAGGAGGCAAGAACTGAGGTTGCTGCTGACCTGTACAAATTTGCTCCTGTTAACATACATTGGTGCCACTTAACTCAGTTACATTCTCTACTTGTAAGATATCTCTATATCTTGCCTTCTTCAGCTGGAGGCATTCAACCTCATGTATATTTTCTTCTCCCCTTTCACTCTCCTGCTTAATAATCAGCCCCCAGAATGATTATTCTGGGTCACAGTGTCTCTGCTTCTCCCTGGCTGATCTCTCAGGTTACCCTGACACACTTATCAGGGTGTCAAGGACCCTGTAATCTGCACAGAGTAGGTCAGAGACACTCATAGCTTTCCTGGACTGGAAGCTCGTGAGAGTAGTAGGGCTAAAGCCTGAGATCATTTAATATCTTGGGTTTCCTCTGCTTTTCCATCTACAATTGGCTCTTTCCCAAAAACTCACATCACCTGTTCTCCTGTTTACTCTGTGCATATTGTGAAATGGCCTTTTGCACCTGCGGGATCCTTTGCCTTCAGAGCAAGTCTGTCTTAAACATACACCCCCCGTTTTTCATGTGCCCACAGCTCTTGCTGCATTTTCTCAGCAGCAAAGAAACAGACTCCTTTGCAGATGCCTGTTTGCCCATTGCTAGGACAGACACTAACTGGAACCCCGGCTCTGCCAGCTCTTTGTGACTAACCATACATTTTTTATCCCTGTTATGATCCAGGGCCAAGTTTTCCAGTGGCTTTTGAAAAAGTTAACATGCCTACATAGGGTCTCACTCTGTGGTCCTTTGAGCACCTCACCTACTGTTTATTTTTGGGTTAGCACCTCTTTGGGAGGAGGGGAAATTCTTCTTTTGCCATGTTTGAGTTCTTACCCCAAGCCCTGAGTCCTCCAGAGGTTCCTCCTTTATGTCAAGAGGGCAAATAAACGTTGCCCTCTTCAGTCCAAGGGCTGCTGTTTCCACTAGCATATGAAGGCTTCCTGTGAGTATTCCTCTTGCTTCTTTCACTTCCTCCTGCAGCCTCCATTTCCTCCTCCACTTCCATACCCTTCTCAATATGCATCAAGACCTTCAAGGTTATATTTAAAAAGAGGAAAGTCCAGCCACCTTGCGGCAGTTAACTGAAAAACAGGTTTCTTGCCTACTTAAAGATCATGGGAAACGGGAATCTGAGAAAATAGATAATTATTTTCTTGCTAGAATACTCGGAGTTTCTATAAGCTTATGGAGACACAAATATAGCCCAGCCTAAGGATGCAGGTGCAAGTGATGAAGCGTGGTCCCAGACTAATAGATTACCATTAGAACAGAGATAAAGGCAAGGTTAAGGGTATGCGAGAAGACCAGTTCAACCCAGAAACCCAAGGATAAACAGGGGCCTCTTGTACACTCGGATACGTCCTCTGTTCTCCGGTGGGTAATTGTGATGAGATGGGACCAAGGTTAAAGGTACAAGGTAAGACCAGTTTATTCTGGAACCCTAAGGATGAATGGGGGAACACCCAATTCAAGATAATAGGAAAATAAGAGGGAATGCTTCACTTTATTTTTTCTCCCTCTGTTCTCTCTTCACAGATGGGTAGTCATGTCTCCATACCAGAGGACATGCTCCTCAGATGCAATCCCCAAAACTGGGTAAAATTTAATTCTCCCAAACCTTAAAACAACAAAAAACTAGTTTTCCTTTGTAATACTGTTTGGCCTAAAAATAAATTGGGAGAAAATTATGAAAGTCAGTCTTAGAATTCAGTGCCCTTATGCAGGAAATCCTGAAATTAGCTTCCTCAGTTTTTGTAACTGAAATCAGGACAAAGAGGTCAAGGCTAAGGAAAGAGAAATGCTGGAGCCAGAGGCATGCTTAAGTACTGGCTGCTCTGCAAGCTCTCAAGCCTTCTCCAG
Organism: Homo sapiens; assembly: GCF_000001405.40. Taxonomy (NCBI): domain Eukaryota; kingdom Metazoa; phylum Chordata; class Mammalia; order Primates; family Hominidae; genus Homo; species Homo sapiens. The sequence goes on from NC_000004.12 coordinate 132,542,395, forward strand.
GTTGCCCTAAGGACATTCCTCCAGATAACTGCCATTGGTGTGGGAAGCCAGGCCACTGGAAGGCAAACTGCCCTAAGGGGACAAACAGGAGGTAGCCTCACACAGCTTACCCACTTTGCTACAAGCTCAGCCATTGTAAATGGGACTTTCCCTGATGGCTGAAGGATAAGTGGGACAGAATTCCAACCCCTGATGACCTTGAGCTGAAGGGGCTCTCTGGCTGGCTTCTAAATCAGACATCATCATCAACAGGCCAAAGCCAAGAGCAACTCTGGAGGTGGCAAAAAAAAATTATCAATTTCCCTTTTGGGTTCAAGAACTGCCTACTCTGTGCTAATCTCCTCTAAGCAACTGTCCTCCAAATTCTGTCAGGCAATGTGACTAAATGGCACACCCTCCCTCCAAAAGAAAAGATTCACACATTTGTGAGCAAAAATATACTTTCCAAGAAGGGTGGCTGCTTAGTATTTACCCAATCTCTAAATTCATCATTCCCTCTCATAGCCCTTTTTACCCTGAGAAATCTACCTAAATCTTTAACCAATAAATTTAAGTTCAACCTGGACAGCCCTACCTCATAGGTTTAGAAATAGCCCACACTTATTCAAATAAGCCCTAGCAAAACTTTAACTGAGCAATATCTTAAGGGGAAGATAACTTCTACAGTATATAGATAACCTCCATATCTGCTCCCCGCTTGCATGACTCACACAGCAACATGCAATACAAACCTTAACTTCCTAACAGAAAATGACTTGTCTAATTCAAAGATTATAGAGGTAAAGAGGTATTTTTGGTAATGAAGGTCATAAAGAAAAAAGATTTTATATGACAAAGGATCTTATATGGTAAATTCTTGTCCTAAAGTACAATGACTGGTTGTTTAAAAAGAGGGATGTTTACATACAAGGTGTGTAAAGTAGAATGTGCTTTTGGTGAAAGATTATAAGAAAGCATGAAAATGTAGATTATTTTTCCTAGTTTAAAGGGTCAAAATATTGTTTTACATTAGTTAGGATAAAGCTAAAGGTTGAAGCTAGTTGGGGATGGTTTGTGAAAAATTAATCTTGTAAACAAAATTCTGTGTGTGATCATATTAGCTAAAGTGGTTTTAATTATTCAGTTTTTCCAGAAATTGAACATTGGAATAAAAGCACAACAGAGTTTTATTAAAGCATTAATCTGCTCTTTATAAATGTGTTATTGGTACATCTTCCAACATTATGTGAAATTCCTATAATTCTGATATAACTTAGTATACATTATCAATAATAATTATATTTGTTATGTTAAATTATTGTGTGCCACAGAGGTAACAAATTTGCATGGCAAATGTGCCTTTGACTGTGGCTGCCCTGAGAAGTTTTGACACCCACAGACAATTGTCATCATTTTTTCATCCTCTTTAGAAGGTGGTTTTATAATTCAGCTATAGAACTGTAACAGCTGCTCTTAAATGCAGGTTTCCAATGACTTCAGAGACTGACATTAGAACAAAGGAAAAACTTTCAGAACTCTCATGGAGAGCTAAAATGTTCATGAATATCAAGCAGAACAGGAGTTATCTGCATGAACTGCACTAATAAAGGACTGAAACAGTCCTTCTAGTTCCAGCTTTTAACAACTGAGTAAAGTATACTCCTATAAAGAAAATTTGGAGCATATTTGTTTCTCTGTACCTGATTTCTCCAGAATTTTGAAACTATTTGTGAGTATTTTTAACTTATGTCAATGCACTTATTTGCATAAGTGCAATAAGAATCTGTTTTCTTTTGCAACAGATTACAGTTGGAGAAACTGATTATTTACTTAGGCTTTGACTAAAATGGCTTGTTTTTCTTTAAGGAATCAAATTTGATTTAAAGAGCCAATAAAGAAACCTTTGGGAAAACTGGACTCATACTTTGTCTACACAATGTACAGGGTTCCTGTCCTGCGGTAGATAAAGGATGTCACTTTCTGATAGGCCCAGGAGCCCTAAGATATCTTGTGACCTCAATAAGAGAGGATTTACACAACTCATAAAAGTATTTGATGGCACCAACTCATGGCTGGGCCCAAGTCCTTAAAGAAGTTGTATTCAAGATGGATTAAAGACTTAAATGTTAGACCTAAAACCATAAAAACCCTAGAAGAAAACCTGGGCAATACCATTCAGGACATAGGCATGGGCAAGGACTTCATGTCTAAAACACCAAAAGCAATGGCAACAAAAGCCAAAATTGACAAATGGGATCTAATTAAACTAAATAGCTCTGCACAGCAAAAGAAACCACCATCAGAGTGAACAGGCAACCTACAGAATGGGAGAAAATTTTTGCAACCTACTTATCTGACAAAGGGCTAATATCCAGAATCTACAATGAACTCAAACAAATTTATAAGAAAAAAACAAACAACCCCATCAAAAAGTGAGCAAAGGATATGAACAGACACTTCTCAAAAGAAGACATTTATGCAGCCAAAAAACACATGAAGAAATGCTCATCATCACTGGCCATCAGAGAAATGCAAATCAAAACCACAAGGAGATACCATCTCATACCAGTTAGAATGGCGATTATTAAAAAGTCAGGTGCTGGAGAGGATGTGGAGAAATAGGAACACTTTTACACTGTTGGTGGGACTGTAAACTAGTTCAACCATTGTGGAAGTCGGTGTGGCAATTCCTCAGGGATCTAGAACTAGAAATACCATTTGACCCAGCTATCCCATTACTGGATATATACTCAAAGGATTATAAATCATGCTGCTATAAAGACACATGCACACATATGTTTATTGTGGCACTATTCACAATAGCAAAGACTTGGAACCAACCCAAATGTGCAACAATGATAGACTGGATTAAGAAAATGTGGCACATATACACCATGGAATACTATGCAGCCATAAGAAATGATGAGTTCATGTCCTTTGTAGGGACATGGATGAAGCTGGAGACCATCATTCTCAGCAAACTATCCCAAGGACAAAAAACCAAACACCGCATGTTCTCACTCATAGGTGGGAATTGAACAATGAGAACACGTGGACACAGGAAGGGGAACATCACACACCGGGGACTGTTGTGGGGTGGGGGGAGGGGGGAGGGATAGCATTTGGAGATATACCTAATGTAAATGACGAGTTAATGGGTGCAGCACACCAACATGGCACATGTATACATATGTAACAAACTTGCACATTGTGCACATGTACCCTAAAACTTAAACTTAAAGTATAATAATAATTAAAAAAAGAGCTGCATTTTCAAAAAAAAAAAAAAAAGAAGTCGTATCTGAGATTCTTTATGGAACAAGATTCCATAAAAGCCGATTTTTTTTAAAAAAGCACATATGGCAAATAATTATTCTTTCTGTGCTTTATGCAAATAATTAAGCCATGTATAGTAAGCCTGAAGTTATTTTGCAAACAAATCAGTTCTATTATTTTTTTTTTAAAACTAGGGAGAAAAATTATGTTTCAAAAAATTTATTACTCCTGTTATTAGACTCTAGTCTCTCAGTTGTTTTTGAGTTTTTATCTGCAATTTGGGCTAACTCTGCTTATTCCTGTGAACCAACCAGTGATTGCTGCCTGCAGCTCAGAAGAAACAAGAGGGTGGACAATGTAAAAATCTGGATCAATATTCTAATTCTGGGTACATATTGGAACTAACTAGCAATCCCATGCACCTAAGTCTTAGTGGGCAATGATGACAGCCACCAGCTACCTGGGTACATCAGCAGCCTTGGAATTTTTTAGAGCTGTCCTCACCCCTTAATCTTATTTTGACATCTTTCTAAATTTAAAAACCCAATTTGTCTCTTCTCACCTTCAGGCCATTAAGCTCCAGATGATCTTCAGTATGAGGGATACCATCCTCTCAATATTCAAGAGTCACCCTTCTACAGAGCGTACCCCTAGACTGCCAATCAGTGGAACATGACAAAGGTGAAATCCTGCCCCTATCTCCCTTGGACCTGTCTGGGTATTGCTTTCACCAACTCAGGGAGACAACACTGCCCTGACAGCTAATAAGAGGCCAAGATCCACAAAACCACCACCTCCACTCCTCTGTCAGAAGAAAGGAGTTACAAAAGGCTGACCTTTGCCCATTTTTTTCCAAATAAATGGGGTCTCGAACTCTTGAGTGGAGAAATGGTACAGGAGGTAGTTAGTCAAACATGCGCCAGGCCAGAGAGCGCCCCCGCCCTACCCCCACACCCACACCAGGGGTCAGGCAACCATCAGGTGATGATCAGGTGGTTGTTAAAATAATTGGTCACAGCTGGCAACAGGGAACTGCAGTCTCCCAATAGAAACACCTGAAACTGGTGATCAGCAGCTTCCCAATAAGATAATAATAATTGGTCACAGCTGATGACAGGGACAGGCAGTCTCCCAATAGACAGAAACACCTGAAATTGGTGATCAGCCACTTCCCAATAAGATCTCTGGAGTTGGGTGAGTGAGCTCAAGCATGCACACTAAGACAAAATGGTGGAGTTTAACTGGTATATGACCTTCTAGGAACACTTGACTGGTAAGGGAAGGACATGCCTACAACTCCAGTAAACACACTGCGCATGTCTCCCAAGTTTTGGCAGCCACTGCGCAGGCAGACAGCCCACCCAAAGGGAAGACACAGGACAGAAGGGACGCAACCCCCTGGAAGTATGCCAATGCATAAAACCCTAAGCCAAAGGTTAAACCACACATTTGGCCTTACAAGTCACCTACTTGGCCCTCTTCCAAGTGTACTTTACTAAGCTTTTTAATAAACATTCACTCCTGTTCTGAAGCTTGCCTTGGTTTCCCACTCTGCCTTACACCCCTCGAATTCTTTCTTCTGTGGAAGCAAGAATTGAAGACACTGCAGACCCGTACAGATTCGCTGCTGCTAACATCAGCACCAGTCTCAGGACCACCATTAGATATTCGACTTTGGACCAGAATGGTAGTAACTAAACACAGGTAACACCTTGCCATATACTACTCACCAACTCTACACAAGTAATCTTCCTTCCTCCTCTTCCTCCTCCTTTTCTTCCTTCTCCTTGCTCTTCTCCTTTCTCCTATTCCCCCTCTTTATGTTTTCTTTCTTCTCCTCCCCCTTCTTTTTCTCCACCTTCTGCTCTTCATTGTCCTTCTTCTCCTCCTTCTCTTTCATTTAACATTTTCTTGTGATTTTTATATTTAATAATGTATATTTAAGTGGGACAGTTTCACTAGCAGTACTCTGGGTAATATTTCTTTCAAGGATGAATTTTAGGAATTACAGAAAGAGACACCCTGAAAATATGCAGAAAGAACTTGAAGATAGGTTGATATCAAAAGGGCTTTTGGTGTAATAGGTATATAAGGACCCCAACACAAATAAATAGTGTAAATTTACAGGAAAAAAGTACAAGCTGTTCTTTTTCTATTCGCAAATAATTCTGGAGAACCATTTAAGTGAGGGAGAGGTGGGTTATATAAATTAAGAAACAGGAAAAACTGCTGGGAACTGTGAAGGCTTCTAAACTATTGAATACATAAAGAGACTTAAGGTTGGAGTGTAGAACTTGACTGGAGGCAGGAGGTGAAGGCTGGGTTAGAGGAAATATTTTAATTTCTCTTTTCGCCTTCCCCAACTTCAGTGCCTTTCACTTACTATGGTGTTACACAGAAAAAAACCGTAAGCCTGCTATTTTTGGCATGGTGATACTTAGCACAAATTTCTTAGAAGGTGTGGAATTGACGAAAAGAGATAAGGAATGATTAGTCTTCCTTTACCATTCATATCTCCACCTGTTCTCCCTCCAAAACTAATGAGCTTTGCATGCTAAGATGACCGCCTCCTTCCAATGCTGGTGTTTCTTAAGAAGGATTTAAAGGCAAAACCCTCATCAAGGTTGTTTTGGGGTCCAGGGACAGCAAAACTGGAGATTATGGAGATATTCAGCTTCAAAATTATCTGTTGCTTTCTCAATAAATTTACCTGGACACAAAACTAAGCAAAGGACTATATTCACTGGCATAAAATTTTCAAGCTATAAGAATTATAGAAACCTCTCCAACAAATTAAACAACACATATTAACTAAGGAGGATGAGACAAATAATTAAAAATAAGCATGATACATATGGAGAGTTCAGCTCCTAAAAAACAACCTTTGTGTGATCTTTGAGGCCCAACCACAGGCAATTACAAAGGCTTCAGGAGGAAAGCTGTTCTTCCCGCACAAGACATGCGGAACAGCCAGTGCATTGCAGTCTCTGAAGGGAGTTGCAGTCAAGAACTCAGGCTCCTTTGCCACGGTCTATGCATATTTGCATTCCCAGCCCAGGTATTCATCAGCAGAGGCCTTCCCGGTCACCTCTACCTAGGTTTTAGTGTGTATATGTGTGTGTGTGTGTGTTTGTGTGTGTATGTATGCATGTGTGTGAATGTGAAGACACTTTTCTACAATCTGACTTTGTAATTTTCCATCTCTATCCCTCTCTTTCATTAAATTTTAAATATCTGGCTTTCAATTATAAGATAAACAATAAGCAAAACAGAACACATTATAAAGACATTAAAAATGTGAACAACAATGTATAAATGAATGGGAAAGTGCAGTCCAGTTATGGAAAATATATAAAAAGTTAAAGTGAATGCTTGAAATAACAGCACATGATATCAGAGATGAATGATTTGTTCAGTGGGTTAACAAACACACTGGGCACAGCAAAAAAAAAAAAAAAAATCAGTAACCTTGAATATAGTTCAATATAAATTTTCTAGGTTGAAATAAATGCCTAAAATAAAGTTAATGTAAAGAAAATAGCATCGGCCGGGCACGTTGGCTCACGTCTGTAATCCCAGCACTTTGGGAGGCTGAGGCCAGCGGATCACAAGGTCAGGAGATCGAGACCATCCTGGCCAACACGATGAAACCCCGTTTCTACTAAAAATACAAAAAAATTAACTGGGCGTGGTGGCGGGCGTCTGTAGTCCCAGCTGCTCAGGAGGCTGAGGCAGGAGAATGGCGTGAACCCGGGAGGCGGAACTTGCAGTGAGCCGAGATCGCGCCACTGCACTCCAGCCTGGGCGACAGATCGAGACTCAGCTCAAAAAAAAAAGAAAGAAAGAAAAAGATAATAGCATCATCTATTTGTGATAAATAAAACAAACCAGAAAACTCTTAGCAAACAGGAAGTAATCTTTCTAAAATGATAAAAATTCATCTAAAAAACTGATATTCAATATTATTTTTCACTTAATAGTGACAAAACAATTGTTTCCCTACTAGGATTTAGAATAAGGCAGTGACTTCTGCTCTCACGAGTTCTATTCAACATGTGTAAAAATGTCTTAGCCAGTGCAAGAAGACAGTAACAAGAAATAAAGAACATATCGATTTGAAAGGGAAAAATAAATATCTTTATTTGCAGACAATGTGATATGTATATAGAAAATCTTAGGGAATCTACAAAAATAAACTACAAGAATCAATAAATGACTTAGGTAAGGCTGCAACATGCGAAGTCAAAATATTAAAACTATCAAATAATTGGAAACAAATTGAATGAAGAATTGTACTTCCAAAATAATTAAAATTTAAAAAATACTTAAGGATAAATCTAGCAAAAGACATGAAAGATTGTTTGCTGAAAACTACAGAACATTGTTTAAATACATTAAAGAAATCTATATAAATATTTTAAATTGTCAATTCTTAGATTGATGTATTGTTTCATTACAATTCATATAAAAATCATATTGTTTCACTTTTATCAGTGAAGCAGTGAAATAGAAAACAAAGTCATCAGCTGAGAATCAAAATAGAATGTAAAATTTTGAAGGTTAGAGGAAAGAAAAGTTGTGGGTGAGTTATTGAGATGAGCAATTGAATGAACTGGAAATATAGGGCTCATTCAAGGTTAGTTACGTTTACCATCACAGAAAAAATAAAAAATTAAACTAAGATAAAAAATATATTTCCATTTGGACCTAAAATTAAAAATCTACACAATCTAAACAGGGTGAAGAGTTTTGGAAGAAGAGAATATAAGCACGTATACTAAAGTACTTGTCTTGTGATGGGGAAAGTATAAGTTCTGAGCATTTTAAGAGACCAAAGAATGCAACTAAGCATTATTATTTGTGAAAACTTAAAGAAACAAAACAAAATTAGAAAAGTAAAATTTAACAAACCACAGAAAGAAAATAATAATCTACTCAGTTGTAAAGCAAGCAAGAACAAAAGAAAAATTCAATAAAATTTACGATTTCATTCTGATAGACCCATTGTTAAGTTAAAAATATCGAACAGTGAAACGCATTTAATACACATACCAAATGATATAGCTTTGCCTAGCCTATCTTATCCATGCTCAGAACCTTTACATTAGCCTACACTTGGGCAAAATCATCTGGCAACACAGTACACTGTAGGGTATCATAGCTAACTGGGAGCTACCATTCACTGTCACTGCCTACCATTGAGAGACTATAGTACCCGTCTCTACTGAGTGCATATAGCACCATACTAAAATCATAGAGTCATTAAGTCAAACCATCCTGTGTCAAGAACCATCTGGAAATATGAAAGTTTTAAACTCATTGACTATTAGACAGATCTGTCAAGTCTAGCTGTATGTGGCCTCTTCAAGGTACATATATCAACAAGACATAAAAACAATTTCTAAATAAATGAGTTGAAAACTATTCGTCACATAAAAATAAACCATAAGAATGAAGGAGTAATATTCTTAACATCTGCCAAAATAAAATATAGAGAAAAATACTCGGTGACATTAAATGACATCACACATTGATTAGTGGAATTGTAGAACAAAATTATACAAACGTTTTAAATATATAAATACATCAGTGCAGATTAAATGTCAAGCAAAAACTGGCAGAACTTTATGGAGAAATAAACACGTTTAGCTGGAGACATTAATATATGTTTAGAAATTGATAAATCAAGCAGAGAAAAATAAGCAAATAATTTTTAACATTAATAAGTTCAAGCACTTCAAATAAATTAGGCCTTATTACCCTAAAACTTCGAAGATTAATATCACACAATATATTCTTTGATATAGTCAATTACAACAATTATTAACAAAAACATAGCTAAAACAATGCTATTGGGAAATGAGTTATGTAATAAATCTCATTTATGTTGCAATGGAAACAAAAATTAAGACATGCTTAGGTATTGCAATAATAAATGTATGACTCTAGCATATGTCGAACTGAAAGAAATTTATGCATTCGATTATATTAAATAAGAAGTTCAAAACAAATTAAGCATTCAATTCAAAATGTTGGAGAAAAAAATTAAAGGCAAATCTAAAGAAAAAAGAATAAAGGGTGCCGGGCGTGGTGGCTCACGCCTGTAAACCCAGCACTTTGGGAGGCCGAGGCGGGAGCTTCACGAGGTTAGGAGATTGAGACCATCCTGGCTAACACGGTGAAACGCTGTCTCTTCTAAAAATATACAAAAAAAAAAAAAAAATAGCCAGGCGTGGTGGCACACGCCCATAGACCCAGCTACTCAGGAGGCTGAGGCAGGAGAATCGCTTGAATCCGGGAGGCGGAAGTTGCAGTGAGCCGCGATCGCGCCACTGCACTCCAGCCTGGGTGACAGAGCGAGACTCCGCCTCAAAAAAATAAATAAATAAATAAATAAATAAATAAAAATAAAAAATAAAGGGTAATAAATATAATAGACATAAGTTAAAATATGTACATAACACAAACCCATAGTGGTTTATTAGGGCTTCAGTAATGCTTCAGTAATGCTAAAGAATATAAAGATAGAAGAAAATAAACAACACCAAAGGAAACATGGGAAATAGGGAGAAACACAAAAAAACTTTTTAAAATTATAAAGGTTTCATAGACCACTTGATAATTTTGTTCCTATGAATCTGAATTTTTGTCTGAAAATTTAAAACATTTCATTCCCTTTTATTACCAAGTAAATCGTTTTCTCTAAAATGCTAAGGTAAGATTAAAGGAAATCTGCATCATAGTTCTGTAGTGTTAGCCAGTTTCAAATATAATAGATCCTTAACAGGTAATGCATGTCACAATATCTGATATCAACAAGATCAGGTGATATACAGAGTGTTCCTATAACTGTATTTGGCCTGCTTGAAAGTAATTACCCTATCTAAAGTATTGCATGTTCTTTTATTTCAAATTCACTTTCTGAATGTTGTTTCTTTTTTCTTTTCTTTCACTCTCTTTTTGGCAGCCTATTTTTGTTTTATGGACACAATATATTCTCTTTTCTCTCTGAGGATATTGGTTACAGTTCTTGAAATAAAAATGTCTTTCTGCCTAGTCACCATTTCCTCCAAGTTGCTCTTCTTCTCTTATTTGTTTTTCCTTTGTTTGGGTCTATATCTTATAATTGAAGCTGTGTAGTTGGTGATCCTTGTGTGTCTGCTCATATTTATCAGCTATTGGAGTGTTAGCAACCTGATTGGAAGCTCTGATTTGACAATGAGGTTCGGGTCATGGTTGAGATAGGTCTTCAGACAACCTATTGGCATAAGTAGCTTTAGTCATTTTCTCTTGTATTTATCAGAGGCCCTGGAAACTTTTATATTTTCCTGTCTGAAGCGTGTAGTCTTAGCTGCATGTGTCTTAGAAACTAGTGAGACAGTGACCTGGGGATCTCAGTATTCAATGAGTATTCCTATTTTCAAAATGGTGCACCTGCTCTAACCAAGGGCTGATGTCTGGTAGTTTAGAGGATTTATTTTATATCCTTCATTGGTAAACCTCTGGTCTTCTTGCTGCAGTTGGAAAGGGGAAGTCACCTATGTTATGGGAGGATGGGACAAGTAGAAATGGGTGAAAATGTGAGGATTAACTGCTTGTTAAACTGACCTTTAACCAGTCATTTAATTTTTTTCTTTATTTTTAGTTGATACACAATAATTGTATATATTTATCAGATACAGAGTGATAGACTGATATGAGAATAGAATGTGTAATGATGAAATCAGGATAATTAGCATATCCATCACCTAAAACTTTTATTATTTCTTTGTGTTGTGAGCATTCAAAATTCTTCTAGTTTTTTGAAAATATACAATTAAATTATAGTTAACCATAATCACCCTGTGGTTCCACAGAACTCCAGAACTTACTCCTCCCATGTAATTATAACTTCATTTCCATTAACCAGCCTCCTCTTAGTACCCCTCCCAGCCTCTAATACCCACACCTCTACTCTCTACCTCCATAAACGTAATTATTTTTTAGCTCTCATATGAGTGAAAACATGCGGTATTTAGTTTTCTATGCCTGACTTAGTTTGCTTTACATAATGTCCTTCTGGCTCATCCTTGTTGTTGTGAATGAAAGGATTTTTTATGGCCGAATAGTATTCCATTGTATATATAGGACACATTTTCATTATCTGTTCCTCTGTTGAGGAACATTTAGGTTGACTTCATATCTTAGCTGTGTATATAGTGCTGCAATAACAATGAGGGTACAGGTATATTTTTTGATATACTGATTTTATTTTCCTTGGTTGAAGGCTAGTCAAGGGACTGTCAACTCAGATGCTAGTTTCAGTTTTAGATTTTGAGAAACCTCCACATTGTTTTTCATAAAGGCTGCAGTAATTTACATTCCCACCAACAATGTATTTTTTGTCTTCTTGATGCATCTTCTAAGCAATGATCTGTGAATGCTATAATTTAAATTTCCCTATTGAAGTTATGTGACTTCATTTTATAATGAACAATTAAAAATAAAAACTCAGGAGTTTTAAAGCCTATCCTCTATTGGATAAGAAGCTAGAAGAATATTTAAGATAAAAGTATCAGAATGAGATTTCAGTTGAGTACCAGGAAGCAGTATTATATAGGCATGTTTTAATAATTTGAGAAAATAATAGATTTTTAGTGCATCTTTGAGGCATTCCAGTTCAAGAACAATGGAGACTGTGATGTGTAAAAGCAAATGTATTTTTGACTAACAGGGTAGATTGAAATAGAAAGAATGGAGGTTGCGTGTCCACTACTGTGACGTACTCACAGCAGGGGTAATGTGTAACACCATATTTGTTAAGCTAGACACAACCAGGAAAAATGAATAATAATTGTTAAGAGTTCACTATTTTTAACAAGTGTCCAGGAACCATGTTTAAGATTCTTGTATGTATTAATTTATTAAGTTAGAGAAATGGGGCTGACAAAGGTAAATTATTTGTGAATAATTGGCAATTACAATTCAAACACACACAATTTGGCTTCAGAGGATACAACTTACAATTTTACTAAACTGACTTTCTGACTTTTGAAGATAGGCTTTCACTCTAAGGCAACAGCTTGAAGTTTAAGAAATGCTAATTTTCAATATTTTAATCTTGCACGTAAGTAAGCAATGGAAGTTCCCATAACAGTATGAAACAAAATAAACTAGTTTATGTAACAAAGTGGTTTCTATAGTTAGCAATTATTTCAGAGTAACATAATTCAACACCCTGCCCCAGAATAACCTTTGCTTTATATTACTTAATTCTACAATATGAATACTACCATTATCTATACCCATATAATCAGAGATCTAGGGAGGCCATGGACATTCACATTTCCACATGAAATGTTTAATATTATTTTCACATAGCAAAATGAAGTATTTTCATGAAGACAAATATTATAAAGATTATAAGTAAGTCAGTGTTGGCAAGATTTTGCTTCTCTTGTCTCCATATCCAACCTATAAAATGTTGTTTTTCTCCTACATATCTTTCATGCCTATTTCTCTGGAAACACACTCGTACTGGCTTTCCTGGTTCTCTAGCTTACAGAAGGCATGTCATGGGATTTCTTCACTCCATAATCATGTGATTCAATTCCCCTCATAAATTTCCTTTTGTGTATCTATCTATCTATCTATCTATCTATCTATCTATCTATCTATCTATCTACCCATCCATTATCTATCTGTCTATCTATCTATCATCTGTCTGTCTTATTGGATCTCTTTCTCTGGAGAACCCTAATACTCTTGGAAATAATATTCTCCAGGAAGGGAAAATCACCAATTTGTACAATCCTTTTCTTACTACTTTGGTAACTTTGGGTGAAGCATTCGGCTTCTAATTCTTTTCTCACTTTTGAAATCAGATCACCTTCAGAGGGTATCCATTCTTCTTTACTTCTCTATGCTATTAGTTTTACCACACTTGGCCACCTAAAGGAAACCTATGCTTTTCCATTGCAGCCTGTGTTTGGGTGAGACATGATTCTTTCTGTGATTAGGTACTAAGATGCTCATTTTTGACAAGCAGGTAAACCAACTCTTAGTGATAAAGCTAATATTTTTATTCACATATGTCGAACTCCTATACTAATCTTTAAATTAGTTTGTCAATCAAACATGTAAAAGAATATTTTTCTAAACTTAATGTGAATGCTGGTTTAGTTAATTAGGTAATTTCTTTTAATTAACCTTGGGAGATATTCTCTAGGACAATATAGTCTACATATGCCCATCTTTCTTGAGTTCTAAAGATTTTTCTTTTATTATTTTCTTGGAATATTTATCTGTTATCTATTTATCTTACAAGGTATGAACTGGAGTCTATATGGCACCTTTTGATACCACTCAGCGAAAAAATAAAAATGTCTGCCTGAGATTTTTTTCTGTCATTTGTTCTAGTTATTGCAACATTTGCCAAATCACAAGAAAGGAGAATATATAAAAATATATCTGTTTCAAGCCTAATCTTTGAGTTTTCACAAGGGCATTTGGAATTCTGTTGCAATTCAGAGAGACTTGGGTTTAAGTAATTTTTATTCCTTGGGGAACAAGAAGTAAAAGAGGAACTGGACACTACAAGTGGATGACGTTTTCCTTTGGGTAAAGACAGTGTCTGAGAAATAGCTGACCATTCAATAAATGTCATCCTTTGAAAGAGAAGTTCACCGCATTTCTGTGTGAGGGGAAAGTGCCAGGTTGCAGTGAACTCAGTTCTAATCCAGAAACGTGAACTCTACAAAACAGTAGAACACTGAAGTTGCATAAAGTCTAGCATATTCATTCATTCATCTGTAGCTTACATGTCATCATAGGTTAGGTCAGTAGGAAGTACCAAACTTAATGCAGGAGTGTCAGGGACAAATTTAAATAGACTGGTTGTTAGTGATGGATGACCATTGGCGTGAAGGAGACTCATGAATATTTGAGGCAAAAAGTCCTATACAAAACACGATAATAAGCCAGAACAAAACAGGAAGAAAGATGATGTAACCCACAAACTGTAGTGGACAGAAAAAAGAATCTGAGCAACACATTTCAGAATTGGGTTAGGAACTAGCTGAGTCCAAAACTGTATGTAAGCCCATGGCTGGATCTTTATGTAACAATAAAGATAGATGCAGCATACATCCACTGATTTTCTAACTTAAATTTACAAATTGTTTATATTTATATTATATTATTTCTTTCTCAAAGTATTCCTTAATAAGAATATATAAGATCCTTCATAAGAATAATAATTACCACTATTTTCTTTTGATGATTAAGTGTTCTGTTATTAAGCATGCATTTAAAAACAGATATAATCAATTAAACATTTTAAACCTAGAAAACACAGATGTATATATGAAAAAACTACTTAAAAAGAAATATAAATTATAATTTAAGTGAATCCATAAATAAAGCAAAGTGTATTCATAATATATACCTATTGTTAAGGAAAAAATATATGCGTGCGTGTAACTTTTTTACATTCAAATAGACTTCCATTTGAAATATCAAAATTCTTTTGTATTCCTATGCTGAATGGTAAATGCTTTATATGAAGGAATTCTTTTATTCAAAAAGTATGTATGCCATTATTTGATATTTCTGAAGTTTTTCTTATGCTTTTAGGCAGATAGCAGACATACTAAAACACTTGAGTTTTAAAATAACTGGTATTATAAGGAATAGGCACAAATTGAGTACCTAAAATTCTTCATCATTATTTTTGCTGTGAACAGAATCAACTTTATAAACTCAGAGGCAGCTTCTTTTGGGCAATTATCACGAATACACATGAATTGTGTTCATTTTCCATTTATGCTGCAAATAGTCAATTCTAGAACTGCAGCATAACGACGTAATCAATATACCTTAATGCTTTTTATTCTCTTACGTCTGGATTTTCCTAGGCCCAGATGATTTGTATACTTTATATCAAAATTAAAGGTATAATAATGAAAAACTCTTTTGATGTTTTCTTTTATTTATAAGTACAAAACTAAATATTGGAATCTTCTGACAAACAGGTCATGTTCCAAACAGCCATTTTAAAGTCAGGTGGGAGGAAATAAGAGTGCATTTTTTTTACAAAAATAGCAGTTAAGCATCAT